>NT_167246.2:3720796-3889472 GCF_000001405.40 Homo sapiens | reverse complement strand
GGCCAGGAAGAGAAGGCTGGGGTGGTGTCCACAGGCCTGATCCAGAATGGAGACTGGACCTTCCAGACACTGATGATGCTGGAAACAGTTCCTCAGAGTGGAGAGGTTTACACCTGCCAAGTGGAGCATCCAAGCATGATGAGCCCTCTCACGGTGCAATGGAGTTAGCAGCTTTCTGACTTCATAAATTTTTCACCCAGTAAGTACAGGACTGTGCTAATCCCTGAGTGTCAGGTTTCTCCTCTCCCACATCCTATTTTCATTTGCTCCATATTCTCATCTCCATCAGCACAGGTCACTGGGGATAGCCCTGTAATCATTTCTAAAAGCACCTGTACCCCATGGTAAAGCAGTCATGCCTGCCAGGCGGGAGAGGCTGTCTCTCTTTTGAACCTCCCCATGATGGCACAGGTCAGGGTCACCCACTCTCCCTGGCTCCAGGCCCTGCCTCTGGGTCTGAGATTGTATTTCTGCTGCTGTTGCTCTGGGTTGTTTGTTGTGATCTGAGAAGAGGAGAACTGTAGGGGCCTTCCTGGCATGAGGGGAGTCCAATCCCAACTTTGCCTTTTATTAGCTCTGTCACTCTAGACAAACTACTAAACCTCTTTGAGTCTCAGGATTTCTGTGGATCAGATGTCAAAGTCATGCCTTACATCAAGGCTGTAATATTTGAATGAGTTTGAGGCCTAACCTTGTAACTGTTCAGTGTGATCTGAAAACCTTTTTTCCCCAGAAATAGCTAGTTATTTTAGTTCTTGCAGGGCAGCCTTCTTCCCCATTTTCAAAGCTCTGAATCTCAGTATCTCAATTACAGAGGTTCAATTTGGGATAAAAATCACTAAACCTGGCTTCCACTCTCAGGAGCACAGTCTGAATCTGCACAGAGCAAGATGCTGAGTGGAGTCGGGGGCTTCGTGCTGGGCCTGCTCTTCCTTGGGGCCGGGCTGTTTCTCTACTTCAGGAATCAGAAAGGTGAGGAGCCTTTCGTAGCTGGCTCTCTCCATAGACTTTTCTGGAGGAGGAAATATGGCTTTGCCGAGGTTAGTTCTCAGTATATGAGTGGCCCTGGATAAAGCCTTTCTTTCCCAAAACGACCTCCAATGTCCCGCTCATCCTGAAATCATCAGTGCATGGTTACTATGTCAAAGCATAATAGCTTGTGGCCTGCAGAGATAAAAGAAAGGCTAACAAGTAGGGATCCTTTGGTTGGAGATCCTGGAGCAAATTAAGGAAAAGCCACTAAGGTTAATACAATTACACTGGATTCTATGACAGACACTTCACGCTTCAGGGGTCACGTGGTGAGTTTCTGCTCCTCTCTGCCCTGGTTCATGTAAGTTGTGGTGTTAGAGAAATCTCAGGTGGGAGATCTGGGGCTGGGATATTGTGTTGGAGGACAGATTTGCTTCCATATCTTTTTTCTTTTTTCTTTTTTTTGAGACGGAGTCTCGCTCTGTCCCCAGGCTGGAGTGCAGTGGCGTGATCTTGGCTCACTGCAACCTCCTTCTCCCGGATTCAAGTGATTCTCCTGCCTCAACCTCCCGAGTAGCTGGGACTATAGGCACCTGCCACCATGCCCAGCTAATTTTTGTATTTTTAGTAGAGATGGGGTTTCACCATGTTGGCCAAGATGGTCTCTATCTCTTGACCTTGTGATCCACCCAACTCGGCCTCCCAAAGTGCTGGGATTACAGGCATGAGCCACCGCACCCAGCCTGCTTCCATATCTTTTAAATGTGTATCTTTTCCCCTTTTTCCCAGGACACTCTGGACTTCAGCCAACAGGTAATACCTTTTCATTCTCTTTTAGAAACAGATTCGCTTTCCTAGAATGATGGTAGAGGTGATAAGGGATGAGACAGAAATAATAGGAAAGACTTTGGATCCAAATTTCTGATCAGGCAATTTACGCCAAAACTCCTCTCTACTTAGAAAAGGCCTGTGCTTGGCCAGGCACAGTAGCTCACGCCTGTAATCTCAGCACTTTGGGAGGCTGAGGTGGGTGGATCACCTGAGGTCAGGAGTTTGAGACCAGCCTGACCAACAAGGAGAAACCTTGTCTCTACTAAAAATACAAAAAAAAATTAGCCATGCGTGGTGGCGCATGCCTGTAATTCCAGCTACTGAGGAGGCTGAGGTAGGAGAATGGTTTGAAGCTGGGAGGCAGAGGTTGTGGTAAGCGCACCACTGCACTCCAGCCTGGGCAACAAGAGTGAAACTCCATCTGATAAAATGAATAAATAAAAAATAAAAGGCCAGTGCTCTGCAGTAGTATTGGCTCAGGGAGACTTAGCAACTTGTTTTTCTTCTTCCTGTACTGCTTTCATCTGAGTCCCTGAAAGAGGGGGAAAGAAGCTGTTAGTAGAGCCATGTCTGAAAACAACACTCTCCTGTGTCTTCTGCAGGACTCCTGAACTGAAGTGAAGATGACCACATTCAAGGAGGAAACTTCTGCCCCAGCTTTGCAGGAGGAAAAGCTTTTCCGCTTGGCTCTTTTTTTTTTTTTTTAGTTTTATTTTATTTATTTGTAAAATTTTAATTTTAAAATTTTCTGGGTACATAGTGGTAGTTTTATTTTAGCATTTTAAAGATGTTAGTCAGTTGTATTCTGATCTGCACTATTTATGATGGGAAGTCAATAAACATTTCTATCCTTGTTCCCTGCAGGCAATGTACGCTTTTCTTTGGCTGCTTTTAGGATTCTCTCTTTTTTTTTTTTTAATTATACTTTAAGTTTTAGGGTACTTGTGCACAATGTGCAGGTTAGTTACATATGTATACATGTGCCATGCTGGTGTGCTGCACCCATTAACTTGTCATTTAGCATTAGGTATATCTCCTAATGCTATCTCTCCCCCCTTCCCCCACCCCACAACAGTCCCCTGAGTGTGATGTTTCCCTTCTTGTGTCCATGTGTTCTCATTGTTCAATTCCCACCTCTGAGTGAGAACATGCGGTGTTTGGTTTTTTGTCCTTGCGATAGTTCATTGAGAATGATGATTTCCAATTTCATCCATGTCCCTACAAAGGACACGAACTCATCATTTTTTATGGCTGCATAGTATTCCATGGTATATATGTGCCAAATTTTCTTAATCCAGTCTATCATTGATGGACATTTGGGTTGGTTCCAAGTCTTTGCTATTGCGAATAGTGCCGCAATAAACATACGTGTGCATGTGTCTTTATAGCAGCATGATTTATAGTCCTTTGGGTATATACCCAGTAATGGGATGGCTGGGTCAAATGGTATTTCTAGTTCTAGATCCCTGCGGAATTGCCACACTGACTTCCACAATGGTTGAACTAGTTTAGAGTCCCACCAACAGTGTAAAAGTGTTCCTATTTCTCCACATCCTCTCCAGCACCTGTTGTTTCCTGACTTTTTAATGACTGCCATTCTAACTGGTATGAGATGGTATCCCATTGTGGTTTTGATTTGCATTTCTCTGATGGTCAGTGATGGTGAGCATTTTTTCATGTGTTTTTTGGCTGCATAAATATCTTCTTTTGAGAAGTGTCTGTTCATGTCCTTTGCCCACTTTCTGATGTGGTTCTTTGTTTTTTTCTTGTAAATTTGTTTGAGTTCATTGTAGACTCTGGATATTAGCCCTTTGTCAGATGAGTAGGTTGTGAAAATTTTCTCCCATTCTGAAGGTTGCCTGTTCACTCAGATGGTAGTTTCTTTTGCTGTGCAGAAGCTCTCTAGTTTAATTAGATCCCATTTGTCCATTTTGGCTTTTGTTGCCATTGCTTTTGGTGTTTTAGACATGAAGTCCTTGCCCATGCCTATGTCCTGAATGGTATTGCCTATGTTTTCTTCTAGGGTTTTTATGGTTTTAGTTCTAACATGTAAGTCTTTAATCCATCTTGAATTAATTTTTGTATAAGGTGTAAGGAAGGGATCCAGTTTCAGCTTTCTACATATGGCTAGCCAGTTTTCCCAGTACCATTTATTAAACAGGGAATCCTTTCCCCATTGCTTGTTTTTCTCAGGTTTGTCAAAGATCAGATAGTTGTAGACATGCGGCGTTATTTCTGAGGGCTCTGTTCTGTTCCATTGATCTATATCTCTGTTTTGGTACCAGTACCATGCTGTTTTTGTTACTGTAGCCTTGTAGTATAGTTTGAAGTCAGGTAGCGTGATGCCTCCAGCTTTGTTCTTTTGGCTTAGGATTGACTTGGTGATGTGGGCTCTTTTTTGATTCCATATGAACTTTAAAGTAGTTTTTTCCAATTCTGTGAAGAAAGTCATTGGTACCTTGATGGGGATGGCATTGAATCTATAAATTACCTTGGGCAGTATGGCCATTTTCATGATATTGATTCTTCCTACCCATGAGCATGGAATGTTCTTCCATTTCTTTGTATCCTCTTTTATTTCATTGAGCAGTGGTCTGTAGTTTTCCTTGAAGAGATCCTTCACATCCCTTGTAAGTTGGATTCCTAGGTATTTTATTCTCTTTGAAGCAATTGTGAATGAGAGTTCACTCATGATTTGACTCTCTGTTTGTCTGTTATTGGTGTGTAAGAATGCTTGTGATTTTTGTACATTGATTTTGTATCCTGAGACTTTGCTGAAGTTGCTTATCAGCTTAAGGAGATTTTGGGCTGAGACGATGGGGTTTTCTAGATATACAATCATATCATCTACAAACAAGGACAATTTGACTTCCTCTTTTCCTAATTGAATACCCTTTATTTCCTTCTCCTGCCTAATTGCCCTGGCCAGAACTTCCAATACTGTGTTGAATAGGAGTGGTGAGAGAGGGCATCCCTGTCTTGTGCCAGTTTTCAAAGGGAATGCTTCCAGTTTTTGCCCATTCAGTATGATATTGGCTGTGGGTTTGTCATATATAGCTCTTATTATTTTGAAATACATCCCATCAATACCTAATTTATTGAGAGTTTTTAGCATGAAGGGTTGTTGAATTTTGTCAAAGGCCTTTTCTGCATCTATTGAGATAATCATGTGGTTTTTGTCTTTGGTTCTGTTTATATGCTGGATTACATTTATTGATTTGCATATATTGAACGAGCCTTGCATAAACTGCATCAACTAACGAGCAAAATAACCAGCTAACATCATAATGACAGAATCAAATTCACACATAACAATATTAACTTTAAATGTAAATGGACTAAATGCTCCAATTAAAAGACACAGACTGGCAAATTGGATAAAGAGTCAAGACCTGTCAGTGTGCTGCATTCAGGAAACCCATCTCACCTGCAGAGACACACATAGGTTCAAAATGAAAGGATGGAGGAAGATCTACCAAGCAAATGGAAAACAAAAAAAGGCAGGGGTAGCAATCCTAGTCTCTGATAAAACAGACTTTAAACCAACAAAGATCAAAAGAGACAAAGAAGGCCATTACATAATGGTAAAGGGATCAATTCATCAAGAAGAGCTAACTATCCTAAATATATATGCACCCAATACAGGAGCACCCAGATTCATAAAACAAGTCCTGAGTGACCTACAAAGAGACTTAGACTCCCACACAATAATGATGGGAGACTTTAACACCCCACTGTCAACATTAGACAGATCAACGAGACAGAAAGTTAACAAGGATACCCAGGAATTGCACTCAGCTCTGCACCAAGTGGACCTAATAGACATCTACAGAACTCTCCACCCCAAATCAACAGAATATACATTTTTTTCAGCACCACACCACACCTATTCCAAAATTGACCACATAGTTGGAAGTAAAGCTCTCCTCGGCAAATGTAAAAGAACAGAAATTGTAACAAACTGTCTCTCAGACCACAGTGCAATCAAACTAGAACTCAGGATTAAGAAACTCACTCAAAACCGCTCAACGACATGGAAACTGAACAACCTGCTCCTGAATGACTACTGGGTACATAACGAAATGAAGGCAGAAATAAAGATGTTCTTTGAAACCAATGAGAACAAAGACACAACATACCAGAATCTCAGGGACACATTCAAAGCAGTGTGTAGAGGGAAATTTATAGCACTAAATGCCCACAAGAGAAAGCAAGAAAGATCCAAAATTGACACCCTAACATCACAATTAAAAGAACTAGAAAAGCAAGAGCAAACACATTCAAAAGCTAGCAGAAGGCAAGAAATAACTAAAATCAGAGCAGAACTGAAGGAAATAGAGACACAAAAAACCCTTCAAAAAAGTAATGAATGCAGGAGCTGGTTTTTTGAAAGGATCAACAAAATTGATAGACTGCTAGCAAGACTAATAAAGAAGAAAAGAGAGAATAATCAAATAGATGCAATAAAAAATGATAAAGGGGATATCACCACTGATCCCACAGAAATACAAACTACCATCAGAGAATACTACAAACACCTCTACGCAAATAAACTAGAAAATCTAGAAGAAATGGATAAATTCCTCGACACAGACACCCTCCCAAGACTAAACCAGGAAGAAGTTGAATCTCTGAATAGACCAATAACAGGCTCTGAAATTGTGGCAATAATCAATAGCTTACCAACCAAAAAGAGTCCAGGACCAGATGGATTCACAGCCGAATTCTACCAGAGGTACAAGGAGGAACTGGTACCATTCCTTCTGAAACTATTCCAATCAATAGAAAAAGAGGGAATCCTCCCTAACTCATTTTTATGAGGCCAGCATCATCCTGATACCAAAGCCGGGCAGAGACACAACCAAAAAAGAGAATTTTAGACCAACATCCCTGATGAACATTGATGCAAAAATCCTCAATAAAATACTGGCAAACCGAATCCAGCAGCACATCAAAAAGCTTATCCACCGCTTGGCTCTTATTCTTCCACAAGAGAGTGCTTTCTCAGGGCCTGGTTGCTATTGGTTCCACAACTCTGCAGAAAATATCCTCCCTTATGGCTTCCTCAGCCCCTTCACTTGGTCTGAAGTCCGAGCATTGATGGCAGTGCCTAATCTTAAACTTTTGTGGCCCCCTTTACCTAACCCTACGGCCTCCCGTGCATCTGTACATCCTGTGTGCCACAAACACATTACGTTATTAAATTTTTCTCAAACATGGAGTTAAAAATCATCTGGTCCAACATATGCAAATCAATAAACGTAATCCATTCACATAAATAGAACCAATGACAAAAACCACATGGTTATCTCAATAGATGCAGAAAAGGCCTTGGGCAACATTCAACAACCCTTCATGCTAAAAACTCTCAATAAACTAGGCATTGATGGAACACATCTCAAAATAATAAGAGCTATTTATGACAAACCCACAGCCAATATCATACTGAATGAGCAAAACCTGGAAGCACTCCCTTTGAAAACTGGCACAAGACAACGATGTCCTCTCTCACCACTCCTATTCAACATAGTATCGGAAGTTCTGGCCAGGGCAATCAGGCAAGAAAAAGAAATAAGGGGTATTCAATCAGGAAAAGAGGAAGTCAAATTGTCCCTGTTTACAGATGACATGATTATAAATTTAGAAAACCCCATCTCAGCCCAAAATTTCCTTAAGCTGATAAACAACTTCAGCAAAGTCTCAGGATACAAAATCAATGTGCAAAAATCACAAGCATTCCTATACACCAATAACAAACAGAGAGCCAAATCATGAGTGAGCTCCCATTCACAATTGCTACTAAGAGAATAAAATACTTAGGAATCCAACTTACAAGGGATGTGAAGGACCTCTTCAAGGAGAACTACAAATCACCTCAAGGAAATAAGAGAGGACACAAATGGAAAAACATTCCATGTTCATAGATACGAAGAATCAATATCATCAAAATGGCCATACTGCCCAAAGTAAGTTATAGATTCAATGCTATCCCCATCAAGCTACCATTGACTTTCTTCACAATATTGGAAAAAACTACTTTAAATTTCATATGGAACCAAAAAAGAGCTGGCATATCCAAGACAATCCAAAGCAAAACGAACAAAGCTAGAGGCATCACGCTACCTGACTTCAAACTTTACTACAAGGGTATAGTCACAAAAACAGCATGGTACTGGTACCAAAACAGATATATAGACCAATGGAACAGAACAGAGGCCTCAGAAATAACGCCACACATCTACAAACATCTGATCTTTGACAAACGTGACAAAAACAAGCAACAGAAAAGGATTCCCTATTTAATAGATGATGTTGGGAAAACTGGCTAGCCATATGCAGAAAGCTGAAACTGGATCCCTTTCTTACACCTCATACAAAAATTAACTCAAGATGGATTAAAAACTTAAATGTAAGACCTAAGACCATAAAAGCCTTAGAAGAAAACCTAGGCAATATCATTCAGGACATAGGCATGGGCAAAGACTTCATGATTAAAACACCAAAAGAAATGGCAACAAAAGCCAAAATAGACAAATGTGATCTGATTTAACTAAAGAGCTTATGCACAGCAAAAGAAACTAGTATCAGAGTGAACAGGCAACTTACAGAATGGGAGAAAATTTTTGCAATCTATCAATTTGACACAGGGCTAATATCCAGAATCTACAAATATCTTAAACAAATTTACAAGGAAAAACAAAATCAAAAAGTGGGTGAATGATATGAACAGACACTTCTCAAAAGAAGACATTTATGCAGCCAACAAACATATGAAAAAAAGCTCATCATCACTGGTCATTAGAGAAATGCAAATCAAAACTACAATGAGATACCATCTCACACGAGTTAGAATGGCGATCATTAAAAAGTCGGGAAACAACAGATGCTGGAGAGGATGTGGAGAAATAGGAAAGTTTTTACACTGTTGGTGGGAATGTAAATTAGTTCAACCATTGTGGAAGACAGTGTGGCAATTCCTCAAGGATCTAGAGCTAGAAATACCATTTAACCCAGCAATCCCATTACTGGGTATATACCCAAATGATTATAAATCATTCTACTATAAATACACATGCACACATATGTTTATTGCAGCACTATTCGCAATAGCAAAGGCTTGGAACCAACCCAAATGCCCATCAATAATAGAATGGATAAAGAAAATGTGGCACATATACACCATGGAATACTATGCAGCATAAAAGAGGATGAGTTCATGTCCTTTGCAGGGACATGAATGACGCTGGAAACCATCATTCTCAGCAAACTAACACAAGGACAGAAAACCACACACTGCATGTTCTCACTCATAACTGGGAGTTGAACAATGAGAACACATGGACACAAGGAGGGGAACATCACACACACACCGGGGCTTGTCAGTGGGTAGGGGGCTAGGGGAAGGATAGCATTAGTAGAAATACGTAATGTGGATTATGGGGTGATGGGTGCAACAAACCACCATGGCACATGTATACCTGTGTAACAAACCTGCACATTCTGCACATGTAGCCCAAAACTTAAGGTATAATAATAATAATAATAATAATAATAATAATAATAAAAAGAAAGTGGAAAAAAATCATCTGTTCCATTTGGCTCCAAGGACAAAGAAAAAAAAAGAAAAGAAAAAGAGAAGATTATTTCCCAGTAGAATAATGGTTTTCGTGTATAAGTCATAAGTAAGTGAGGTAATGCATATGTTAAATAGCTTGATTTAGACATTCCACACTATGGGCATATATCAAAACTTCAGCTCTACAACATAAATACACTATAAAATTTTTACTTGTCAATTAAAAAAGTAAACCTAACATTTACAAAGGCAATGCTTAAAAACTGAGAAGAGACTGTAACAACCGAAAAAAACGTGGCCAACCTGAGATGAGAAACCAGCTAGCAAGTACAAGTACATCAAAACTTTTTTTTTTTTTTTTTTTTTTTTGAGACAGAGTCACCCTCTGTTGCTCAGGCTGGAGTGCAGTGGTGCGATCTCGGCTCACTGCAAACTCTGCCTCCCGGGTTCAAGACATTCTCCTGCCTCAGCCTCCCAAGTAGCTGGGACTGCAGGCACCCACCACCACGCCCGGCTAATTTTTTGTATTTTTAGTAAAGATGGGATTTCACTGTGTTAGCCAGGATGGTCTTGATCTCCTGACCTGATGATCCACCCGCCTTGGCCTCCCAAAGTGCTGGGACCACACTCATGAGCCACCGCTCGTGGCCCAGAACTCTTTCTTAATCCCATCTACAATATTGTGTATCTATTAGTATATGGTTTTTCATTCCAGAGACTTCAGTAATATAGTATTACCGAAGGACTTGTACAGATTTCAGAGAAAGACAAATTTAGAAGATGGAGGGTTCTCCATTGTGTTCTGAGAGTCAGTCTCATATATGTCAAATCTAAAAAGTACATAATCAATGCAGAAGTCTATTTCAAAGTAATAACCATTTGAGCACAATTTCTCTACTGTCAGAGACAACTTATTTTCAATCAAATTCAATATTTATTTTATGCATATTTTATTTTAAGTTATATGTTACTTGTACATACATAGCAGTATAAGTACATATAAATCCTATAGGAACATAAATCCTATAGGAATATATTAAGCTGATAATTATGTCTGTTCTGTTTGATCCCAGAGTTGCAACAAATAAGCCTTGTTCCCTAAGTTGAGGACATGATTTGTCTCATTTTATATGAGACTTGTGGTGTAGAACTAAAATGTGTGGGATGAATATTTGAATGAAGATGCTTCTGCTGCGAATAACAAGAAATCCCATCTAGTGGGATTTATTTTCTTTAACCCATTATCTCACATAGCCAATACATCCAAGGCTGGGCATCTCCAGGGTTGCTCAACTCATCATGCTGGTGGCATCACCAGCGATCCTGGAACTTCAAAGCTCATCTCTCTATCACACAGCACGTCAGCTTTCCTGAGATGGTCGGAGGATCCCTGCAGCAGCTTTAGGTTTCTTATTCTCTCACAACAACTCCCAAAGGCGAGAAAAGGATACTCCTTCTTTCCTGTGTGCCTTTATAAGGAGCAACTACACTGTTTCAGAGTGTTCTCAGTAACCACTTTCTCACTGGAATGACCGTGGGATCACACAGACTCAGACAAGCCAGGATTCAACCTGGCTTTGTAGAGTGGGCCTGATGCACATGGGGAGAAAAGGAGCAAAATCATATATTTTTAAAAATAAAGAAATGGTGGATGGAGTAGGAGAGGTTGATTTCAGAGTAGGGAAATGATAGATTGTGGTACTCTTAGGTTGTTAGTATTTGTAGTTAAATTCCATATGAAGGCCTAGAGATTCCTGATAGGCACCCTCCATTCAGCGTTTTGGGTCTTTTTTAATACATATGTATTGAGCATTAAATGTCTGCCATTAACTCAATTAGAATAAAACAAAAAAGCAAGGAGAAAGGATTGATTTTAGAACTCAATTAGGTATGCTGACATGTTGTTTTTACAGGGAAATTTTTGAAAAAAGTAGAATAAGGAATGACTAGCTCTATAAGGTGCTAAAACATACTATACATTTATTTTTAAAAATACATTTGTTGGCCGGGCACGGTGGCTCACGCCTATAATCGCAGCACTTTGGGAGGCCAAGGCAGGTGGATCACAAGGTCAGGAGATCAAGACCATCCTGGTTAACACGGTGAAACCACATCTCTACCAAAAATACAAAAAACAAAATTAGCCGGGCATGGTGGTGGGCACCTGTAGTCCCAGCTACTCTGGAGGCTGAGGTGGGAGAATGGCGTGAACCCGGGCAGTGGAGCTTGCAGTGAGCCCAGATCACGCCACTGCACCCCAGCCTGGGCGCCAGAGTGAGACTCCGTCTCAAAAAATATATATATACATTTGTTACTGATTCTTTATTTTTTATTAAATATGCTAGTAGAACAGAGTCTAGAATTAGAACCAGAAAGAGTTGAGATTTAGTTTCAGTTTGTGGTAAGTTGTATTCCAAAGTCATTTCTTTCACCGAATGGATCCTGGATGAATAAAAATTGAAACATCAAGAGAAAATATAAAATCCCCAAGACAGATGTTATTTCTAATACTGTCATCATCATTATAATTATGTTTGAAGATGAATAGACTTTCTAAACCCTTACGTGTTGCTGGTGGGAGTGTATGATTTTACAAATACCTGGAAATTTGTCAATTTCTTTAAAAGTTTAACATATGTTTGCCATATAACCCAGCAATTTCACTCCTTGGAATCTACCTAAGAGACATAAAAACGTATGTCCTCACAAAGATATGTGTTCAAGTGTTCGGAACAGCCTTAGCTGTAGTTGGCCCAAACTGAAAACAATCCAAATATCCTTCAACTAGTAAATGGACAAACAAAATGGATCAACTACATCCATGCAAGGCAATATCATTCAACAATAAAAGGGAACAAAACTAGACTTATCTGGCAGAGGAGATACCATGAACATGAGGGTAGTTTTCCCAAGGCAAGTTTCAACCCTTGCACTCTAGATGATGAGAGATTACTTAATGGGTACAATGCATGTGATTTAGGTGATGGATACTGTGGAACACTGACTTCAACACTACACAGTCTACGCAGGTAATAAAGCTACACTTGTACCTTATACATTTACATAATTAAAAAAAGAGAAAATAAACAAAAAGAAACGAAATGAAAAGGGACAAACTACAAACTGATGAACTTCAATAATGTTAAGTAAGTGAAGGAAACTGGACACAAAAGGTTACATAACGTATGATTTCATTTACTTGAAATATGTAGAAGAGGTAAATTGATAGATGCAAAAAGCAGATCATTGGGTGCCTAGGGCTTGGGGTATCGGTGGGAATTAACTATAAATAGATAAATTTTGGACATAACAGAAATGTTAAAAAACTGGATTGTTGTGATAATTGCACAAATCTATTGATTTACTAAAATCATTAAATTTTACATATAGAATGAATGAATCTCATAGTATGTAAATTAAGCCTTAGGAATCTTGTTAAAATAATTCTTTTTTTAAAAAATAAGACTTTGTAAGCAAGACAAAATCCAGAAGACACAAATGAAAAAATATTTTAAGAAAATTACTTACTTCTTTTCATGAAGAAAATAACAAAATTAAAAGAAGTATATGAAGCTCAGAAAAAATTTTGATCACATAAGACAGACAATGGGCTAACTTTCTTAGGAAAATTGTTAACTGATCAATAAATTAATTAATGGAAATGCCATGGAAAATTGGGCAAAGCATATAAACTGAGCATAGAAGAGAATATTCCAATAGTCAATAAATATTTGCTCAAACTCACCAACGAACGGAAAAATCCAAATTCAAATAGCAATTTCTCCCTCCGCCAAAACTGGAAAATACAATAGTTTGTTTTAAAATCAAGGACTTAGAAGATTCTATGGGAATAGATTCTCCTATATTATTAAGATTGTGAGTAGATGGCAGTGTGCTACTAAAACTCAAAATGCAATTGTTACGTGCTGGATGAAAACAACAAAAATCCCATTCTAAACATCTGTCTTAAGGAAACAATCCTACATGAGCCCAAAGAAATATAAAATTGGTCGTTTTGAGCCATGGTTTGCAATAACAAAAACATTTCCAAATTCTAAAAGAAAAACTGATTAATTTGTCTTGATTATAACACTTTTGCACATCATAAAAAACCATGCAGTATGTGAAGTGACAGCACACTGCAGGATGACATTTGGTGCTGTGTGGGGCACTGTGAGCATATATTGGTGTAACCCTGTGAGTCATTTGGATAATACAGTATTTCCACTCTAAGTTTTTACAGTCTTAGTACATTTTTTCTTGTATGTCCATCATGACATATAAAAAATGAAACAGGAGAGAAAATAAACATTCTCAATATTTGGAAGAAAGGTAAATTGTGGTATAGACGTAGAAAGGAATAATATTCAGGGCTTTAAGTAAATTATGTAGGACTATCAACACGGATTGGAAAAAAATCATAGAACATAATGCCAATTAGGAGGTAGAAAATTACAAGAATTGTCACTGTTACTATAAGAACAAAAAAAATATAAACTAGACTAAATGGATAAACTGGAAAATAATCTTATTTTTAAAATTTTAATGAGCCATAGATCAAAAAGTATAAAAATTCCAAATTCCAGAGATGAACAAATTCCACTTAGGTGAGCAGGGACAAATGTCCACTCTTATTGTTTGGTCCATCTACGGAATCTTAACATGGGGGGAAAATTGAGCCTGGCTGAGAAAGGGAGACAGGGACTGAAGACAAAGCAGCTGAGTTGTAAATAGCCCTGTGGGCTTGTGTGATAGATTACAATCTATAGAGGCCCCCTGAATAATATACATCTACTTTACCCTGCCAGCTGAGTCACCTTCCAGAACTTTTTCTGGCTTCATGCTGGTGGTGTGGGAACTAGGGCCGTACATAGAAGACAACAAACATCTCTGTAGCTTCGTGCAAACAAAGATCAGGAAGTAAATCAAGATAGGAACAATCTTTCAACCATCTTGACTTAGCTGGCATTTATAATTGACATATATACTGATATCTGAGAACTACAGAATGTTTATTTATTTACATTGCACAAAGATTATTCATGAAATAGAACAAATACTATGACTATAAAAGTAGTCTCAATTACTTTTACAAGAATAAAATCATACAGAGTATATTATCTGAACACAGTCTTATCAAATTACAAATAAGTAAGATGAAGAACATTGCCCAAATTTTTGGAAGTAAAATAATACATTTCTAAATAACCTGTGGCTTGTCAAATAAAATCAGAAGGAAAATTAGGACATAATTTTAAATAAAATAATACCAAAATGAATATTTAAAATTTTTCTTATGCAACCAAGGCAGTCCTTAGAAAAAATATTTAGCTTTAAATGCTTGTATTATAAAAGGATACAACATTGGAGGTTACGTTTTAACATGAGATTTGGAGGGGACAAACATCCAAACTATATCAATAACGTAATTGGTTTAATGTAGAGTGACTTTGTATCCAGCAACCTTATTTATATTTACTTATTAAATCTATGAGTTTGTCTATTATTTTTATTTTTCAAGTACCTGATTAGGTCAAGAGTAAATAATGACAATTTTACGTGGATGCAATTAGTATCTCTTTCATATGTCTTTCTTGCCATTTTCATGGTCTGACTCCTCTACTACTCCAGATATGAAAGAGACAGTTTTACATATTTCACTGCTGAGACTAATGTGTGCAATAGGTTAGCAATCACTTCTTAGATTGAAGAAATACCTTTTAAATACAAGTTCGCAAACAGATTTTTATTTATTTATTTATTTTTGAGACAGAGCTTTGCTCTTGTTGCCCAGGCTGGAGTGCAGTGGCACGATCTCAGCTCACTGCAACCTCTGCCTTCCAGGTTCAAGCGATTCTCTTGCCTCAGCCTCCTGAGTACCTGAGGCTACAGGCACGCAGCACCACGCCCGGCTAATTTTGTGTATTTGCTAGAGACAGGGTTTCGCCTTTTGGTCAGGCTGGTCTCGAACTCCCGACCTGAGGTGATCCACCCAACTCAGCCGCCCAAAGTGCTGGTATTACAGGCATGAGCCACCGCTCCTGGCCAGATTTTTAAAAAATTAAGGCCAAGTGCTGAATTCTGTCAAATAATACTTCAAGACTCTATTAAGGTGGTTGCATGTGTATTCTCCTTCCTTCAGTTAATGTAGTGAATCACACTAACTGAGTCTCAAATGTTCCAACAACCTTGAATTTCTGGGATAAACTTCACTTGGTCATGATGTAGTAGCCATCTTTTATGCCACTGAATTCAGTTGGCTAATATTTTCTTAAGAACTTGGCTCATAAGAGTTATTGGTCTATAAATTCCTATTTGTTGTAGAGTTCTTTTCAGGTCTTGAAGTAAAGTTTACACAGATCTCGTTAAACGTAACTGCAAGTATTTTTCCTTTTTTCAAATATGTTTGAAGTTTGCGTAAAGTTAGTGTTGTTTGTTCCTTAAATAGTTTAAAATAGTTACTGAAACTGGATGAGCCTGCGGTTTTGTCTTGGGAAAACTTTATGGAATGGGCTTACTTTCTCTATGAGATGTGGAACTCTTCATATTTTATGTTATTTGTCAGCTTCAGTACATTGTACATTTTGAGCAATTTATTCATTACATGCAAATTTATTTTGTAAAGTTGTTAACATTATTTCATGCTGATAAATCCATAAGATTATAACAAAAGATATGAAATTTGTGTCACTGAAGTCTTAGAGGGAGATGACAAATGGGTGATGCCCAAAGAGTGTTTGAAGGAAGATTGACTACTTTCCAAATTTGGACAAAGTCTTAAATGTAAAAATTCAAGAATCTGTGCAAACCCAAAAGAAGATAAATCCAAAGAAATTTAGACCAAAAAACTCTTTTTTTTTTTTTTGAGACGGAGTCTTACTCTGTCGCCCAGGCTGGAGTGCAGTGGTGCGATCTCGGCTCACTGAAAGCTCCTACTCCTGGGTTCAAGCCATTCTCCTGCCTCAGCCTCCCCCAAAAAACTCTTGAAAGCAACAAGAGAGAAATGACATCTGATGCATAGGAGAAAATAAATTAAGTAACAGTGGATTGCTCATTAGAAATCATGCAGACCAGTCAGAAGTGGCACAAGTTATTTTAATGGCTGAAAGTAATGTTAACCTAGAATGTATAACCAGAAAAATATTATTATAAAATGAAGGTTCTATCATGACATTCTTTATTTTTGTTTGGTTTTGTTTTTAGATGGAGTCTTGCTCTTTCATCCAGGCTCAAGAGCAGTGGCGTGACCACGGCTCACTGCAGCCTCTGCCTCCCAGGCTCATGCGATCCTCACACCTCAGTGTCCTGAGTAGCTGGGATTACAGACACATACCACCATGCCTGGCTAATTTTTGTATTTTCTGCTGAGACTGGGTTTGCTCATGTAGCCCAGGCTGGTCTCAAACTCCTGAGCTCAGGGGATCCACCTACCTTGGCCTCTCAAAGTGCTGGGGTTACAGGCATGAGCCATCACACCCGACCATGACATTCTTAGAGGAAGGAAAATCAAGAGAATTTGATGCTAGCAGACTTACCCTAAAACAAGAGCTAAAGGAAGTGCTTGAATTTGAATAGAAAGGATAATGGAAGAAATCTTGGATGATCAGGAAAAAAATAAACAATAGAATGATTAAAAATATGGGTTGAGACAACAGACTTCTCTTCTTCAGTTTTGTAAATTAATTTGATTGATGGTTGAGGCAAAAATTACAACACTGTCAGATGTGGTTCTTGATGCAAGTAGAGAAAATAAAAAATGTATATTTAAATGCAAGAACGGAAAGGGATATAAAGGAGGTAAAATTTCTACACTTTAGTCAAATTGACAAAATGTCAGCACCGGTAGACTATGATAAGTTATGTTAATAGATAGATAAATCACAAAAACTATACAATGAGAAACACCAAAAAAAGATTGATTACAAAATGGAATTCTAAAAATCGCTTAAGGAACACATCAAAAAACAGGAAAAGCAAACAAAGAAACTAAAACCAAAGGAATCAAAAAAGAAAACAAAAAGCAGATGGCATTCATAAGAACCCACATACTAATAATTGCATTACATGTAAATTGTCTGAAAAGACAAACGTCAGAGTGAAAAATAATGAACCATAGATACACTATCTATTGTGTCCAAAGTTTGTTCCTTCCGGTGGGTTCATGGTCTCATTAACTTCAGTGGGGTTTGTGGTCTCACTGGCTTCAAGAATGAAGCTGTAGACCTTCGTGGTGAGTGTTACAGCTCTTAAAGTTGGCACTGACCCAAAGAGTGAGCAGTAGCAAGATTTATTGTGAAGAGCAAAAGAACAAAGCTTTCACAGTGTGGGAGGGGACCCAAGCAGGTTTCTGCTGCTGGCTGGGGTGGCCAGCTTTTATTCCCTTACTTGTCCCCGCCCATGTCCTGCTGATTGGTCCATTTTACAGAGTACTGATTGGTCCATTTTACAGAGTGCTGACTGGTCCATTTTACAGAGTGCTGATTGGTCCATTTTATAAACCTCTAGCTAGCCACAGAGCGCCAATTGGTGAGTTTTTACAGAGCACTGATTGGTGCATTTTACAAACCTCTAGCTAGCCACAGAAAAGTTCTTCAAGTCCCTACCCAACCCAGAAGTCCAGCTTGCTTCACCTCTCCCTATTAGAAACTTACTGCAAATATTACAAGAGTGGAAGGTTGAAATAGAAGAACAGAAAAAAATAAACCATACAAACATCTGTCAAAGAAAGCAGAAATTGCTATAGTATCAGATAACATAAAATACACAGAGCAATGGATATTCTAAGAGACAAACAGAAACACTAAATAAAGATAAAAGTGTTGATTCAGAATGAAGACATAGCAACTCGAAATGTGTGTGCATCAAAAAACTGAGTTACAAATAAGTAGAGCAAAAATGGTCAGAACTGGAAGGAGAAATAGACAAATACACAGTTAAACTTTGAGACTTCACAAACCATCTCTGAAATATTAATAAAATAACTGTACAAAACCTCAGTCAGATAATGAAACCCAACAAAACTATCCACCAATAAGATCTAATATACCTTTACAGACCACCACACCAAATAGAAGAATATAGATTTTTAACTGTCCATGGAATATTTACCAATGTAGATCACACACTGGACCATAAAATAAACCTCAACAAATGTGAAAGAATTGAAATCATACAGACCGTGTTCTCTGGAAGCAATGGAGTTGAACCAGAAATCAATAACATGAAGAAAATCAGTACAACTGCAAACACATGGAAACAAAAAACATACTTTTAAATTACCTGTGGATCAAAAAAGATGTCTTAAGGAAAATAAAAAATGTATTCAACTAAGTGAAAATGAAAGTATAACATATCAAGATCTTTGGTACATAGCTAAAGCAGTGCTTTGAAAACTATTTATAGTACAAAATGTACACACTGAAAAAGAGAAAAGGTCAGAAACCAATAATCTCAGTTCCCACCTCAAGAATCTAAAAAAGTAGTCCAAAATAACCTAAAGCAAGAAGGAAAAAAAAAAAAAGAATATGAGAGCAGAACTCTGGCGCTCATGCCTGTAATCCCAGCATTTTGGGAGGCCAAGGCAGGCAGATCACCTGAGGTCGGGATTTCCAGACCAACCTGACCAACATAGGAAAACACCTATGCCAACTCATTTTCACAAAGAATCATAATAATTCAATGGAGGTAATATAGTCTGTAGTCTTTTCAAAATATGGTCCAGGAGAAAGTGGAAATCCATAGACAAACCAAAACCAAACAAAATAAAAAAGGAAGCAAAAGGAAAAAGACACAAGAAAGAGACTTAACAAATTCTCACATCTTATGAAAACATTTACCCCCAATTAAATCATGTCTACATGTTAAAGATTTAGAAAAAACATATGAGAAAATCATCAGGAGCTAGGGCCTGGTGTCTGTGTTCTGAGTTCATAGACATGACACCAAAAGCGCTATGCGTAAAAAACAAAAGCACAGGCTGGGCAAAAAATTAGCCAGGCACAGTAGTGGGTGCCTGTAGTCCCAGCTACTCGGGAGGCTGAGGCAGGAGAATGGCTTGAACACGGGAGGCGGTGCTTGCAGTGAGCCGAGATCATGCCACTGCGTTCCAGCCTGGGCAACAGAGCAAGACTCTGTTTCAGAAAAAAAAAAACACACACACACACACACACAAACACAAAAAACAAACGAAATCAATAGATGGGGCTTTATCAAAATTTAAAACTGTTTTTCTGTAAGGTATCCTGCTAAAAAATGAAAAGTAAGCTAGAAATATGGAGAAAATATTTAAAACCACATATATTACCAAGAATACGTTATCTAGAAAGTATAATCAACTATAAGAGCTCTACTATAAAATCTATAGCATGCAGAATTCAGGAACTAAATACTGGGCACCTGTCAGCCAGTTAAAAGTGACTAGTGCAGCTGCTGGACTAAGGACACCAGTGACAGGCTTTCCGGGAAAGGGCTCTCGAACAAACCCAACTCTTTGGAGTTGGGAGCATTGGTTTGCCTAGAACCAGCTTCTGCTTTTCCTGTACTTCCGGGCTGAGCCGAGCATCAACAGAGAGGAAAGCCATTCAGCTCTGTGGTCCCGACAACAAGTTGGTTGACCCTGCGGCCATGAGCAGAATTCTCAAAGTCATGTCGCCCAAGAGAGACTCGCCCATGTATCCTATCTATCCTGACCCTTGCCTCCTGGGTCCTAACGCCTGTCAGACAAACTTCCTCTCACCTCTGTTCTCTGAGGCTAGTCCTGCTTCTAAAAACCACTCCCTGTCTCTGGTGCTTTTCTACTTTCTCCTATAAGAATGATTTCTAGTATAAACTCCAGGACTCTATTCCCTTCTTTAGGCACCCGGACTCACCAATCAGAAAGATGTAATTTTTGCCCAAAGCCCCGTTGAGGAGAGGACTCTCTGGAATTTTAGGATCCCTCCTCAGACTAGCAGACCTAACAAAAGCTATTCCTGAAGCTAGGATATGGGGAGCTTCAGAAATGGTATCTTTCCTATTCATATAAGTGAGGACAAAAAGCGTCACTCTTCCAACTCTGGAGATCCCTTCCCTCCCTCAGGGTGTGGCCCTCCACTTCATTTTTGGGGCATAACATCTTTATAGGACAGTGGTAAGATCCCAATACTAACAGGAGAATGCTTAGGACTCTAACAGGTTTTCGAGAATGCGTCAGTAAGGGCCACTAAATCTGACTTTCCTTCCTAGACCTTCTTGTGGTCTAGGAGGAAAACTAGTGTTTCTGCTGCTGCATTGGTGAGTACAACTATTCTGATCAGCAGGGTCCAGGGACCATTGAGGGTTCTTGGGCAAGAGTTGTTTTTGCTGCTGCATCAGAGAGTGTAACTATTCCAATCAGCAGGGTCCAGGGATGGTTGCAGGTTCTTGGGCAAGAGGTGTTTCTGCTGCTGCATCATTGAGTGCAACTGTTCTGATCAGCAGGGTCCAGGGACCATTGGGGGTTCTTAGGCAGGGGGAGAAACAAACAAACCAAAACCACAGGCGGTTTTGTCTTTCAGTTGGGAAACACACAGGAATCAACAGGCTCACCCTTGAAATGCATCCTAAGCCATTGGGACCAATTTGACCCACAAGCCCTGAAAAAGAGGCAGCTCATTTTTTTCTGCACTATGGCTTGGCCCCAATATTCTCTCTCTGATGGGGAAAAATGGCCACCTGAGGGAAGTACAAATTGCAATACTATCCTGCAGCTTGACCTTTTCTGTAAGAGGGAAGGCAAATGGAGTGAAATACCTTATGTCTGAGCTTTCTTTTCATTGAAGGAAAATACACAACTATGCAAAGCTTGCAATTTACATCCCGCAGGAGGACCTCCCAGCTTACCCACATATCCTAGCCTCCCTATAGCTCCCCTTCCTATTAATAAGCCTTTTCCAATCTCCCCCACCCAGACGGAAACAAGCAAATAAATCTCCAAGGAACCACAAAACCCCCCTATCAGTTATGTCGCCTTCAAGCTTTAGGGGGAGGGGAATTTGGCCCAACCCAGGTACATGTCCCCTTCTCCCTCTCTGATTTAAAGCAGATCAAGGCAGACCTGGGGAAGTTTTCAGATTATCCTGTTAGGTACACAGATGTCCTACAGAGTCTAGGGCAAACCTTCGATCTCACTTGGAGAGATGTCATGCTATTGTTAGATCAAACCCTAGTCTTTAATGAAAAGAATGTGGCTTTAGCTGCAGCCTGAGAGTTTGGAGCTACCTGGTATCTTAGTCAAGTAAATGATAGAATGACAGCTGAAGAAAGGGACAAATTCCCTACTGATCAGCAAGCCATCCCCAGTATGGATCCCCACTATGATCTAGACTCAGATCATGGGGACTAGAATCGTAAACATCTTTTGACCTGTGTTCTAGAAGGACTAAGGAGAATTAGGAAAAAGCCTATAAATTATTCAATGATGTCCACCATAACTCAGGGAAAAGAAGAAAATCCTTCTGCATTCCTTGAGTGGCTATGGGAGGCCTTAAGAAAATATACTCTCCTGTCACCCACTCACTCAAGGGTCAATTGATCCTAAAAGATAAGTTTATTACCCAATCAGCCGCAGATATCAGGAGAAAGCTCCAAAAGTGAGCCCTGGGCCCTGAACAAAATCTGGAGGCATTATTAAACCTGGCAACCTTGGTGTTCTATAGTAGGGACCAAGAGGAATAGGCCAAAAAGGAATAGAGAGATCAGAGAAAGCCCGCAGCCTTAGTCATGGCCCTCAGACGAATAGACCTTGGTGGTTCAGAAAAGATAGAAAATGGAGTAGGCCAGTCACCTGGTAGGGCTTGTTATCAGTGTGGTTTACAAGGACACTTTAAAAAAGATTGTCCAATGAGAAAAAAGCCACCCCCTAGCCCATGTCCTCTATGCCAAAGAAGTCGCTGGAAGGTGCGCTGCCCCAGATGACAAAGTTTCTCTGGGCCAGAAGCCCCCAACCAGATGATCCAACAACAGGACTGAGGGTGCTTGGGGCAAGCACCAGCTCATGTCATCACTCTCACTGAGCCTTGGGTATGTATAACCATTGAAGGCCAGGAAATTGACTTCCTCCTGGACACTGGCGTGGCTTTCTCAGTGTTAATCTCCTGTCCTGGACAGCTGTCCTCAAGGTCCATTACTATCCGAGGAATCCCGGGAAAGGCTGTAACCAGGTATTTCTCCCACTTCCTCAGTTGTAATTGGGAGACTTTGCTCTTTTCACATGCCTTTCTTGTTATGCCTGAAAGTCCCATACCCTTATTAGGGAAGGACATATTAGCCAAAGCTGGAGCCATTATCTACATGAATATTGGGAAAAAGTTACCCATTTCTTGTCCCCTGATTGAGGAGGGAATCAACCCTGAAGTCTGGGCACTGGAAGGAGCCCACTCAAGCTCCAGCCTTAAGCCTTCCCACAGGAAAAGTCTTCTGAAATAAGACAATGCCTTTCAAACTCTTATACCAACCTCTGGAGTTGAGCAACATGGCTTCTCCCTTTCTAGGTCCCACGGCAGCCATCTTGCTATTACTCGCCTTTGGGCCCTGTATTTTTAACCTCCTTGTCAAATTTGTTTCCTCTACAATCGAGACCGTCAAGCTACAGATGGTCTTACAAATGGAACCCCAAATGAGCTCAACTAGCAACTTCTACCGAGGACCCCACCTGACCCAGAAGCCCAGCCAGCTTCACCTCTCACTAGAGCTACTTAAAATATAAACATTTAGAAAATCTGGATGAAAGGGTACACATATGTTCTCTGTTCTGTCTTTGCAATTTCCTGTGATTCTATAATGATTTCAAAGTAAAACGTTTTTAGAAAGCATTTTTTAAAAATTTTATTATTATTATACTTTAAGTTTTAGGGTACATGTGCACAATGTGCAGGTTTGTTAGATATGCACACATGTGCCATGTTGGTGTGCTGCACCCATTAACTCGTCATTTAGCATTAGGTATATCTCCTAATGCTATCGCTCCCCACTTCCCCGACCCCACAACAGTCCCCGGTGTGTGATGTTCCCCTTCCTGTGTCCAAGTGTTCTCATTGTTCAATTCCTACCTATGAGTGAGAATATGCGGTGTTTCGTTTTTTGTCTTTGCTATAGTTTGCTGAGAATGATGCTTTCCAGTTTCATCCATGTCCCTACAAAGGACATGAACTCATCATTTTTTATGGCTGTGTAGTTTTCCATGGTGTACATGTGCCACATTTTCTTAATCCAGTCTATCATTGTTGGACATTTAGGTTGGTTCCAAGTCTTTGCTATTGTGAATAGTGCCACAATAAACATACGTGTGCATGTGTCTTTATAGCAGCATGATTTATAATCCTTTGTGTATATACCCGGTAATGGGATGGCTGGGTCAAATGGTATTTCTAGTTCTAGATCCCTGAGGAACCACCACACTGACTTCCACAATGGTTGAACTAGTTCACAGTCCCACCAACAGTGTAAAAGTGTTCCTATTTCTCCACATCCTCTCCAGCACCTGTTGTTTCCTGACTTTTTAATGATTGCCATTCTAACTGGTGTGAGATGGTATCTCATTGTGGTTTTGATTTGCATTGTGGTTTTGATTTCTCTGATGGCCAGTGATGGTGAGCATTTTTTCATGTGTCTTTTGGCTGCATAAATGTCTTCTTTTGAGAAGTGTCTGTTCATATCCTTTGCCCACTTTTTGGTGGGGTTGTTTGTTTTTTTTCTTGTAAATTTGTTTGAGTTCTTTGTAGATTCTGGATATTAGCCCTTTGTCAGATGAGTAGATTGCAAAAATTTTCTCCCATTCTGAAGGTTGCCTGTTCACTCTGATGGTAGTTTCTTTTGCTGTGCAGAAGCTCTTTAGTTTAATTAGATCCCATTTGTCAATTTTGACTTTTGTTGCCATTGCTTTTGGTGTTTTAGACATGAAGTCCTTGCCCATGCCTATGTCCTGAATGGTATTGACTAGGTTTTCTTCTAGGGTTTTTATGGTTTTAGGTCTAACATTTAAGTCTTTAATCCATCTTGAATTAATTTTTGTATAAGGTGTAAGGAATTAAAAAGCATTTTTTATTTTCTGACTGAAATCCAAAACTCTCACAGAACCAAATGCTGGCAAGGATTTAGAAAATCAAGGACTCTGATTCATTGCTGGTGGGAATGCAAAACAGTACAGCCACTTTGAAAGACTCTCTGGATGTTTGTTACAAAGCTAAACACAATCTTACTATATAATCCAGCAATGGCACCTCTGAGCAAATGAGTGGAAAACTTATGTCCACACAAATACCCGTACATGGATGTTTATAGCAGTCTTATTCATAATTGCCAAAAACTCGAAGCCCCCAAGATGTCCTCAATAGGTGAGTGGATAAAGAAATTGTGATATATCCATACCATGGGATATTGTTCAGCAGTAAAGAGAAATAAGCTACCAAGCTATGAAAACACATGGAGGAAACTTATAGGCATATTGCTAAGTGGAAGGAGCCAGCCTGAAAAAGCTCTATACTGTAAAATCACAACTGTATGACACTGTAGAAAAGGCAAAAATACAGAGAGTAAATAGACCAGGAGTTCAGGAGGAGAAGAGATGCGTGAATACGTTGAGTCTCAGGCATAGTTAGGGAAATTATTTTGTATGATGCTTTTGTTACTGAAATACCGTGGATTTGTCTAGCTCCTTTTGAGACGGAGTCTTGCACTGTCACCAGGCTGGAGTGCAGTGCCAAGATCTCAGCTCACTGCAACATCCACCTCCCCTGTTCAAGCAATTCTCCTTCCACAGCTTCCCAAGTAGCTGGGATTACAGGTACCCGCCACCCCCAGCTAATTTTTATATTTTTAGTAGAGATGGGGTTTCACCATGTTGGCCTGGATGGTCTCGATCTCTTGACCTCGTGATCTGCCCGACTTGGCATCCCAAAGTGTTGGGATTACAGGCGTGAGCGACTGTGCCTGGAAGACACTCTGGCTGTTTCTTACAAAGCTAAACATACTCTGCCATAAGATTCAGCAATTGCAATCCTAAGTATTACCCAAATTAGTGGAAAATTCTGTCCACACAAACAAGTGTACACCGATGTTTATAGCAGCTTTATTCATAATTGCCAAAAATTCAAAGCAACCAAGATGTCCTCCAGTAAGTGAGTGGATAAACAAATTGTGGTAGATCCATATCATGGGTTATTATTTAAAATTACAGAGAAATAAGCTATCAAGCTATGAACAGACATGAAGAAAACCTATATGCATATCGTTAAGTGAAAGAAGCCAGTCTAAAAAGAACTATATCCCATATGATTACAACTATATAACATTCTGGAAAAGGCAAAAATACAGAGACAGTAAATAGTGGTTTCCAGGGGTTCAGGAGGAAGAGAAATGAATGAGTAGGTGGAGCCTGGGACAATTGTAGGTCAGCAAAACTACTTCGCAGGATACTTTTGTTACTGAAACACCAGGGGTTTAGTCTAGGTCTTGCACACAAGGGCTTTGGTCTGGATCTTGCTGCTCACCACACACAAAGCCAATCACTGAGATGACAATGAGTACTGCCAAAGAAGAAGGCTTTAATCTTTAATCAGGTGCTGCAGCTGAGGAGATGGGAGACTAGTGTCAAATCCATCTCTGTGACTGACTAAAATTAGGAGTTTATCTAGCAGGGAAGAAATGTAACTATGTGTGGGAAAACAGGAACTAGGGAAGGGTAAGGGAACAATCATGATGAATGGGGAACCTGGAGTCTCATTGTCTGGATGAGATGATCTGGTGAGTTCCAGTTCTTTGATACTTTTTAAGAGGCCTGGGGGATCTTTTTTTGGAAAGCAATTCAGATAAGACAAATGTAAGTTTAAATTTAAGATCAGAAGTGTCCATTTAAATGCAGATTTAAAAGAAAAACTGTCTATGGGACTCGGGTCAGTTCGACTTTAATGGTAGATATATGACGTTATGTATTGATCAAAACCCACAGAGCTGTATAATATGAATGAACCCTAATTCAACTATGGACCTCAGTTAACGTAAGTATCAGTATTGGTTCATCATTTGTAACAAGTGTACCACACTGATGCAGGATGTTAATAATAGGAGAAATTGAGCAGAGGGCTGTTTTAGGGAAGAAGGGATGTGGGAAGTCCCTGAAATTTCTCCGCAATTTTTCTCTACACTTTAAACTACTTCAAAAATGGTCTTGTTACATGGAATGATATAGATTTATTTTTGCTTTTTTATTCCATATTTGTCTGCATTTGACTGCATTCTGTATTGCTCATCTACTTATTTTATATTAAAATTATAGATATGTTACAAAATATGTATGCCGATTCTATCTCTAACATTCTCAAAATTCTGCTTGGATTCTATAAACCATAGGTAGAGAAACTTGTTATTTATTAGTAAGTCTTACAAGGTCATGCCGCCTTGGTGTGTGATTGTTTTATTTTATAAAATTCGGCTGTAGAAATTTTGAAGAAAAAAACGGAAAGTCTAGTTTTTGCAATATTTTATTATCACCAAACATGGTACCTAATTACTTTGCTTACATTTTTCCTTTAATTCTGATAATAATTCAATGTAGTAAAAATTAACAGCAGTATTTTTATGAGGAATCTGAGGCTAAGATAAGTAGGATACAAGTGAAAACATACCTAGTATATGATACAGCCCAGATGAAATCCAAATCTAACTCAACGTTTATTTGCAGTCTATCTCACTGTCATTGATAATTCACCTTTATGGTTTGTGGTAGGTTCTAGTAACCATTTTAGAAATAAGTATCATCATACTTTTACAGACAAATGAGCAATAGCTCACTGTTTTTCTAATATTTTCTTCTCATCTTAATGCTGTATCCTGCCACTGCTCCCATTACTCAGTTTTTCCACCCAAATACATATGTCCAAATATATGATGGTTTCAGTAATAAGTCAGACTGTTCTCCTGGTAATAAAACAGGCATCCAAGGCTTTTTCTAAAGGGACAGGCAATGTCAGTCTGCAGTGTCTAATCTCATTCCTCTTTAAGTCTGGAATGAGAAATGCTGATATGTAAATCTTGTAATATTTGTGGGTCTTCTTCTCATTCTGCTCCACAGTTTACCCCCTATCTCCTCCTCTCCATCTGTCTCACCCATTCTCAGAGGCCAAATCCCAGGGTTTCAGATTCACTACACTGAAGATACAGACATGTCATTGACTTGCAGGCTGAAGAACTAAAAACTGATTCTGAACCGATTGCCCAGTAGAGATCTCCCAACAAACAAACCCTACTTTAGCATTGTCCTGCTGAGGACTAGACCACAGCAACAGAATTGCCTGCACTTGCTCAGAAATAGACCAAGCCCAATGAGCCTGGATATTTCTAATTAATTCTTTTACTAAGAAGTGCACGAATCCTCCATTGTTATCTAACTTGGAAGAAAGAATTCAGCCAAGAGATGCATAGCAATGGTTGAGTAGCAGAGTTTATTGAAGGAAAATAAAGTGCATTCCTAGAGAGAAGTGGAAAACAGTTCTGACTGTTCCAGCTGGAAAAATAGTAGCAGTGTTTATTTAAAGAGACAGTACGCTCTGGAAGAGGAGACAGAGTGGGCTGCTCAAAAGAAGGAGCCAGCAGCAGCCAGTGCTGACGGACTCTCTTTATGAGAATCTCACATGATTATTCATGAAGGGGCCTGAGGGGTGTCACTTGCAAGCATGTTTCAGGAGGACTCTTTGGGTGCGCATGCTCTGTCTTGTACTTGCTACTGTATATGTTGCATGTCTCAGTATTTAAAATCTCCACCCAGAGCTGTGTTTTTTACTATCATAGTGAGCAAAAGGCTATTCTAGGTAAGTTATTGGAGGAATGCACAATTTCATTAGTGCAGAAAGTCCCTGCCATGGCAATTTCTGGCTAGGACCTGATGAGTCCCCTCCAAGGCCGGATGGACCAACCACAAGGCCAGATGTAGCCAGTGTAGCCATTGCCCTTTTTGCTATTAGTGCACAGTGCTGACTGTCAGTGAGCGCTGACTCCAACACTTTTTTTCCCAGGGGCTCCCATTTCTGACTATCTGCCTTCTCTAACAATAACAGACCTTATATGATACATTCAACATTCAGACTATTCAGGATGAAGGGATCACACAAATCCTGCAGCTCCCCTCACTGCAAATAACCAGCTCAAACACCAGAAAATTCACCAAAGAACCATCAAAAATAGTATAGTATTTTGGAAAAATTACTATTTGAAGAAACTTGAAGCGATAAGTACATGAAAAATGTCCCCATAGAATGTTCAGAAAATTCCACAGTAGAAAAAGAATTCTATGTGGTATATTCCAGAAGCATTTCATGGAGACAATAAAATCATGGGAACAAGTTTTGAAAATGCTCCCATTAACCCTATTTCAGTATGTTATTGATAAACAATTACTTTTCTTTGCCACCTGTAATAGTTCATTCTTACATTGCCGTAAGAAAATACCTGAGACTGGGTAATTTATAAAGAAAAAGGGGCCAGGCGTGGTGGCTCACGTCTGTAATCCCAGCACTTTGGGAGGCCGAGGTGGGCAGATCACAAGGTCAAGAGATCGAGACCATCCTGGCCAACAAGGTGAAACCCCATCTCTACTAAAAATACAAAAAAAAAAAAAAATAGCTGGGTGTGGTGGCGTGCACCTGCAGTCCCAGCTACTCGGGAGGCTGAGGCAGGAGAATCACTTGAACTTGGGAGGCAGAGGTTGCAGCAAGCCAAGATCATGCCACTGCACTCCACCCTGGTGACAGAGCAAGACTCCATCTCAAAAAAACTAAAAACAAACAAACAAAAAATTTTCTTTTTTTTTTTCTTTTTCTCTTTTTTTTTTTTTTTTGAGACGGAATCTAGCTCTGTCGCCAGGCTGGAGTGCAGTGGTGCAATCTCGGCTCACTGCAACCTCTGCCTCCTGGGTTCAAGTGAGTCTCCTACCTCAGCCTCCTGAGTAACTGGGACTACAGCTGCATGCCACAATGCCTGGCTAATTTTTTTTTTTTTTTTTGAGACTAGGTTTCGCTCTTGTTGTCCAGCCTGGAGTGCAATGGCACAATCTAGGCTCACCACAACATCTGCCTCCCTGGTTCAAGCAATTCTTCTGCCTCAGCCTCCTGAGTAGCTGGGATTACAGGCATGAGCTACCATGCCCGGCTGATTTTTGTATTTTTTTAGTAGAGACAGGATTTCTCCATGCTGGTCAGGCTGGTCTCGAACTCCCAACCTCAGGTGATCTGCCCGCCTTGGCCTCCCAAAGTGCTGGGATTACAGGCTTGAGCCACCGCGCCCAGCCCCAGCTAATTTTTGTATGTTTAGTAGAGACAGGGTTTCACTGTGTTAGCCAGGAGGGTCTCAATCTCGTGACCTCATAATCCACCCGCCTAGGTCTCCCAAAGTGTTGGGATTACAGGCATGAGCCACTGTGCCTGGCAGGAAAAAGGTTTAATTGACTCACAGTTCTGTATGGATGGGAAGCCCTCAGGCAACTTACAATCATGGCAGAAGAGTAAGAAGACCATCTTACATGGCAGCAGGCAAGAGAGAATGTACCCATAGGAGGAAATGTCAAACACTTACAAAACCATCAGATCTCGTGAGAACTCACTCACTATCACAAGAACAGCATGAGGGAAATGGCCCCCATGATCTAATCACCTCCCATCAGGTCCCACACTGGACATGTGGAGATTATGGGGATTACAATTCAAGATGAGATTTGGGTGGGGAAACAGAGCCAGCCTAACCATGTCACTGTTACGAGATCATTGGCGTTTTGCTTTTCTTGCCAGAATCCTGTGACTGGTAATGCCTTTGCCTGAGTTTTGCTCGGGCCAGCTGAGCTCATTCCACCCACTTCGCCTGGCAGGCTGTGGTTCACACTACTGGCCTGGATCTGACACTTGCCAAAGGTCAGGTGGTGAGGGATATGTGAGCAAGTGAGCATGGGGTCCAGCCCCTGTGTAGAGCCAGGAATGTTGACTGTGCAGGGTGGGCAGCTCTAGGCACCAGTATGGGTGCCAGCTGCCTGTGAGGCTGCAACTGGACCAGGTGCACTGCAAGCAGCTTCCACAGCTGGCACTGGGGAACATGGTGGCACCTGGAAGATTGGGAACCCCAGGAACCACAGGCCCCAAAAAGTAAGCCACAGCCCTGGCTCGGTGAGCTCCCAGGTTTGGGCTCCCTGAAGAGCCACAGCTCTTCTCTCCTTCTCTTTGCCCACAACATGGCGAGCAATGGGCATGTTTCAGCTATGTTTGTGTTACAGGTGTTTTAGCCTCACCGTTCAGCAGATCCCCAGTTCTTGTCCTGCGTCCAGGAAGAATGAGGTATGCAGACAAGCGGAGGGTGAGCAGGACAAAGAGGAGCTTTATTAAGCCATAGAACAGCTCCGAGACCTGCAGTGGGCAGCTCCTCTCCATAACCAGGTTGTCCCGACACCTGTTCAGCTCTCTGCAGAGAGGATAGCTCCTCTCTGCAGCTGAACGTCCTATTCTCTCCTCAGTTCTCAGCAGAGAGGAGACCCTGGGGAGGGCAACTCTTCTCTGCAGCAAGTCATCCCTCATCTCCCTGTCCTCTCTCTTAGCTCTCTCCATCCTCTGCTCATGTCTGCCTGAGCCCAGGGCTTTTACAGGCCTCAGAGGGGAGGAAGTGAGGACCATGGACGGCCATGGGGCAGGCCCAGAAAAGGCACAAATTCTCACTCCTGTCAGCAGGACTGGCAGCCCAGCCTGGTGAGCAAGGCCTCACCAGGGACCTGCCTCTTTCTGACATAGAGGCTATTTGCCTCCCACCGCTATCCATGGCAACCAGGCTGCTCATGCCAAGGGGCACCTATAGGCCATGCCAGTTTCCCTCAGCCCGTCTTCCCTCAGCTTCCCCATGGCTGAGGTGGCAGGAGACTGGTATGTCAATGCAGCCCTGAGTGTGCACACACCCGGCCAGGCTGTGACAGCACTGGGGCTGGGCCCATCTCCACTCTGAGATCAGAGCGGGAGCTGGGAGAGACCAGGGGAGAGGCCAGGCAGTGGGAGCAGACACCCCGGAGCCTACAGGGACATGGAGGCCTTCTCAGCCTTGAGGGCGTGGAGTGCAGAGAGGCCTGGACCCTGCTGCGGGAGGGTCGGTCTCCTGCCCAGTCCATGGAGCCTGCAGGTAGCCCCTGTCACACCTTCTTGCAGCCTGGAGTGGGCAGCTCCACTCGCCGGGCCCAGGCTGGCATCTGGGGCAAAGGTGATGTCTCTGCAAGATCTTCTCCTAGAACTCAGGGGTGCCCAGGGACCTCCCTCGCCTGGATGGGGCTGGGGAGGCACCTTGGGGAGCAGATTGCGGCAGGACTTGGCCATGGGGAGCATCAGGCTTGGTGACCACCCCCGAGGGCACAACCCTGGGTGGCCTCAGGCACAGCCTCCTCCTGAGACCTAGGAAGAGTGCTCCCTCAGCAGGGTGGGACAATGGCCTTGCTGCTGGATGAGTCCCCAAAGTGGGGCAACTCCCACTTCTCACCCCAGGCCCCTGAGACATGGCCCCAGCTCCATGCCCTCCCCACAGCTGCAGGGTGAGAGCAGCAATGCAAGACTGGTGTAGGCTCCGGGCCTGGGGGCAGGTCCTGCCAACTGCTCAAGGTTTGGGGCAGCGCAGTCAGCTGCTTCAGGGACACAAGGCACAGGGGACATGGGGCACAGGGGTCCCACCATGGCCACTGCTGCCACAGTCGTTCCTGCCACCACTGCTTGCAACTTCCCACTGCAACTAGCCACTCTGGAGAGCTCGCCACTGCCATCATCACCACCCTTTTATCCTAAAATGCTAAGGTGAACCTTAGATGGCTTTCCTAGATTGTCATCATCACAATTAGTTTCTTTTTTTCACAAATTCTTTCTTCTTTTCTTTTTTCTTCCTTTGTGTTTTTTGTTTTTGTTTTTGTTTGTTTTTGACGGGATCTTCCTCTTGTCGATGATGATGACGGGATTCTTTTGAAGGAACCAGAATTGCTACATAGTGGCTTTCTCAAATTATGTAATGATACCATTCATTAAAAGAAGTAGTCTTATTGCTATGCACACCCATAAATTATAGGGATATAAATAATTTTAATACAAGGAACATTATTCTCAGAAATAGAATGTGAAGGAGTATGATATAGTGGCTGAGCTTGAGGGGTAGATAATTTGGCTCACTCCATAGTGTACCTTTTACTAGCTTTGTATCTTTGGAAAAGTTGTTTTACCTCCATCTCTTTATTCTCTCCACCTGTAAGCATGAAAAGGGTGTTTATTTTACTGAGCTGATGTGAGAATGAAATAAACATATGAAGTATAGAAAGCCCTTAGTACAATTCTGAGTACAAAGTAAAATGCTTATTTCTGCTGCAGCATGGTGAGAATCCTGCCCCTGGAAACACTAAGGCACATAAGGAAGGAGTGCCTATCAGAACTGTGGTAGAGTGTGAATTAATGCAGAACTTTACATGTATAGTTGTACTGTGAAGTCCATTCTGAATCTCAGATTTCACATTTATATTAATATAAAGCATAATAATTATCTAAATGTAGAATTATATGTTTAAAATTACATGATACATCAACTGATGTAATTCATAGTTTTTCCCTAGGACTCTCTTTCCTGAACATTCTGTAACGTATTAGTTAGCACAGTCTTCTTATATCTTCCCTTACGATAAAACAAGAGAAGCACAGTAGTAAAGGGCCATAGCCTCAGTCAAATGAGGAAATCCTAATGGGTACCAGGAATGAGGGATTAAACACTCTTCACGTAAAATATTAATTATTTTAAAACAGAGTTGTTCTGTCAACAGCTCACGTTGAGTCTTTGATCGATCTCTCAGCCCCCTGAATACTTGGATTGCACAGTTGACCTTATCACATTTTTAGGGTAAGTGCTGTACAAAGGCACCTTCAGAGCCTCCATTGCACATAGGTGGCCCCTGCAAGCCCCTTGCCTGTGTGTGTTCTGGAGCTGCCACTAAACTTGAGGGCAGCATCAGGAGACACACTTGAAAACAACCTTTTACTCAGATTAAATTATTAACTTTCCATTTCCTTTAACTTATTAAAGACATCCCCACCTGTAAAGAGGTGCAGATTAAGCTCTCTAGTCAACAGCTGTCATTCTGTCATATCATCAGATACCCGGGGCTGCTGCTCCTTGAGGCATCCACAGAATCACAGCATTTTCCAGTATTGAAAGACCTAAAAGATCACGGTGCCTTCATTTCAACTGTGAGACATGAAGTAATTTTCCCAAATCTACGACATTAAGATATGGTGCAATAAGGACCAGATTAAAGGTCTGCACATTTGCAACCATGTTCCCTCCATCTCATTTACTCCTAAACACGGTCACTGCTGCAAATACTTCTCTTGTCAAGTGGGAAATGAATGCTCTTACAAGGCTCAAACTTGTGAACACATCACTGACCAGCTCAGAGCTGGCTCACAATAGGGACCCAATTAAAATGTTTTACATGCAACTGGATCAAACCTTTTGAGTACTAAATTAAAACAATCCTTTAAAGAAGACAATTGTTTCAGAGGAGGACCTTCATACAGCATCTCTGACCAGCAACTGATGATGCTAGTGAACTCAGATGCTGACTGGTTCTCCAACACGAGATTACCCAATCAAGGAGCAAGGAAATCAGTAACTTCCTTCCTATAATTTGAAATGTGGGTGGAGGGGGGTCATAGTTCTCCCTGAGTGAGACTTGCCTGCTGCTCTGACCACTGGTCTTGTCCTCTTCTCCAGCATGGTGTGTCTGAAGCTCCCTGGAGGCTCCTGTATGGCAGCGCTGACAGTGACATTGACGGTGCTGAGCTCCCCACTGGCTTTGGCTGGGGACACCCAACGTAAGTGCACATTGTGACTGCAGAGCTACTATGGGGTGGGGGCAAAAATAGGAAGTTTTGTTAACATTGTGCCCAGGCCATGTCTCTTATGAAATTGTGACACTTTCTTCAGAGATTGCCCATCTTTATCAGATGGATCCCAAATTATTTCCACCACAAAAGGCGCTTGGCTACTTGTCCTGTCCATGAGATTTGTGTAAAGGGCCTACACACAGGTCATTTCTTCTCAAATCTCCACCAATAAAACCTATGCATCACATGTCCTCAGGGTCTTTAGAGGATTTAGAAATAAGTATGCTAAAATAATTTCCCCATACAGCACTTCCCTTTATTATGTTGACTTATGTCAGACAAAAGGAGGTTTTTACTGAAAATTTTGTGGGAGTCAAGGGAATTCAAAGGGTCTCTCCTAGACGATCCAGTGTTATGTCCTCCACAGGACCTTTGGTGTTGGCCCCTCTTCCTCATATGTGAGGATGGATCCAGTGGCCTCCCCATTATCTCCTTTCTTTTCTTTCTGAACTCCAATGTTTATAAAGCCTGTACCCCTGTTGCTTATGTAGGTTCTCTGACAAAAGTTATACTTAGTGCTCTTTCTTTCTTATGGGGAAAAATCCGTGGAACTGAAGCTGAGATCTTTAGTACGTGGAGTCACCTTACAGATACAGAGCATTTATGCGGTATTCATTGGTGCCTAAAGAACTTTAGGCATCCTCTGGAAAACCGGCCCAGGTTAGTGTTTATTATGAATCTTTTTTAACCGTTCTATACTTGTTTCTCCTACATCTCTTACATGCTCTAACTAGACATGACAGAAGAGATTTAACTAATGTAGTATAAATTGTATGAAATTCTATTTTTGTAAGTCAAAAATAATCAAATATCAGAAATGTAATAATGTTCAAACTATATACTCTGTGTGGGGTTTTTGAGACAATGTGGACATTGTTCATGTCTCATAAGGCTGAAAGTCAATGAGCAAGTCCTGGAAACTCATTGTCTTACTGGGGTCTTGTCCTAAATTTCATAGGTTCACCCATCATGCCCTCAGCTTTCCTTAATTAGCCATGTCTGCTTACCTCTTCCTCCACTTTCTCTCTTTTCCCCAGCTATGTTGTCATCATTTCCAAAAATCTCTAAAGCTTGCACAGATCCTTAGCACTATGAGATCCATTGAAAGACATAATTTTTTTCTTTTTGAGATAGGGCCTAGCTCTGTCACCCGGGCTGTAGCTCAGTGGTGTGATCGAGGCTCACTGCAACCACTGCCTCCCATGCTCAAGCGATCTTCCCTCCTCAAGCTCCGGAATAGCTGGGAATAGAGGCAGGCAACCACGCCCAGCTAATTTTTTAATTTTGGTAGAGATGAGATTTTGCCATGTTGCCCAGGCTGGTCTTAAACTGCTGGACTCAAGCAATCCTCCTGCCTTGGCCTCCCATCGTGCTAGGATTATAGATGTGAGCCACTGTGCCCAGGCAAAAAGAAATGACTCTTAATAAAAAAAATTTCCTTTTTCTTAAATCACTGTTTCTTTATCTGTGAATTCTTCTTCCAAGTAGAAGGAGGAGAAAGAAGAAGTTTGCCTGTATTTCTCACCGGGGGGAGAAGGGGTCTAGTGTGACATCAAAATGAAAGGGTGCTGGAGCTTGAGCCCCTTCTTGCTTTCCGGGATCCCCACAGTGATCAGTTCTCATACCCTGGTTTATTCGTGTAAACCACACTTATTTTTCTCAGCAGCTACTGTGTACTAGGCTCCATTCTAGGTTCAAATCATTCTATTTGAGTAAGATAGAGAGGGTCCCGACTCTCAAGGAAGTTACACAACAATAGAGGAGACAGACACTAACCCAATAAGCATTTAACAAAAAAGAAAATGTTAGAGAGTCATAGTGCACTGAAGAAAAGACAACAGGTTTGTCGGAACGATAGAAATGGATTCACCTACTTTAGTTCATATGTTTAGGGAGCCCTACCTGAGAAAGTGACATTCAGCTGAGACAACAAAGTAAGTAGACAGTCGTGAAGATCTAACGGACGAAAGTTCCAGGGAGACTGAATCGAGGGAAAGCCCTGGTGTGGGAAATTATGTGGAGGGAGAGAAAGAAGGCTAGAGGGGCTGATGTATAGGAAGCAAGGAAATAGGGGGGCAGAAGATGAGGTAGAACACAGAGAGGAAGTCAGGAGCCTCATCATATTAGGCTCTGAAATCCACGGTAAAAAATTTGAATTTCATTTATTTATTTATTTTGAGACGGAGTTTCATTCTTGTGGCCCAGACTGGAGTGCAATGGCACAATCTCGGCTCACTGCAACCTCCGCCTCCTGGGTTCAAGTGATTCTCCTGCCTCAGCTTCCCAAGTAGCTGGGATTACAGGCACCCACCACCATACCTGGCTATTTTTTTGTATTTTTAGTGGAGATGGGGTATCACCATGTTGACCAGGCTGGTCTCGAACTCCTGACCTCAGATAATCTGTCTGCCTTGGCCTCCCAAAGTGCTGGGATTACAAGAGTGGGCCACTGTGCCCAGACTGAATTTTATTTAAATAGATATGAGAAACTACTGTATGGTTACACGGAGAGTCAATTTATATTCAATTTTGTGTGTGTGTGTTTGTGAGATCGAGTCTTGCTCTGTTGCCCAGGCTAGATTGCAGTGGCACAATCTCGGTTTACTGCAACCTCTGCCTCCCAGGTTCAAGCGATTCTATTGCCTCAGCCTCCCGAGTAACTGGGACCACAGGCGCATGCCACTACACCCGGCTAATTTTTTGTATTTTTAATAGGGATGGGGTTTCACCGTGTTAGCCAGGTTGGTCTCGATCTCCTGACCTCGTGATCTGCCCACCTTGGCCTCCCAAAGTGCTGGGATTACAGGCGTGAGCCACTGCACCCGGCCTATATTCAATTTTTAAAACTAACTCTAGCTACTCTGTAGGAATTGGATTGTTGGGGTTCAAAAGTGGTCAGGAAGACTATTTAGGAGCACAGCAGGGAATTATCCAGGGAAAACAGGCTTGTGGCTTCATGGAGTGCATTAGTGATAAAGAGAGTGAAAAAGATAAAGTGGACAGACTTGGCATGTATTTTTGCTTAGCTTGCTAATGAATTACTGTAAAGGGGTTAGAACAATCAAGCTTATTCCTAAGGATTTTGTTTTGACAAATAAGTGGGTGGTAGTGTTGTTTATTGAGATAGGAAAAACTATGGGAGGAAATGATTTGAAGTGGGTGGTTGGAAATAAAAGTTTTGTTTAAATTTGAGATGATTTATTGACATTTATGTGGAGCAATCCGAAGGTCAATGGCATTTAAGAGACTCATGGTGAGGTGAAGCTAGGGCTTCAGGTATTTATGTTGGCGGCATCAATAAGTGTAGTGTGTTAAATTCCAGGGAGTGGAAGATGATACATAGGGAGATGGATTGTGTGGAGAAAAAAGAAGAGGGTACAGGCCAGCAAAGGGGGCTGAGAAAGAGCCCAGGGAGGCTGGAGAAAACCCAAGATAACATAATGCGTGTAAGTGAAGAAAAACAGATTATTTTCAAGGAGAAGGGAGAGGCCAATTGTGGTGAGTACCACTAAGAGGAGAGGGAAGTGAGAACGTGACAGAGAAGCAAGTGCTGGGTTGCTGGTTTGCTGGAGTTGATATTTGCAGTCAATGGAGTATCCAGGGAGGAAACTGGATTGGACCATTTGAAGAGCAAGTAGAAGTGAGGACGAAGTTAAGATTGACTGTTTTGAGTAGAGAGCTTCAGGGAAGGACTGTGCTCTGGGTTCAGGGAGCCAGCTGATTCTAAAGGAAAAGGCTAAAGAAGCTGAAGAACCAGCTTTCCCAGCACCATTTATTAAATAGGGAATCCTTTCCCCATTTCTGGTTTTTGTCAGATTTATCAAACATCAGATGGTTGTAGATGTGTGGTATTATTTCTGAGGGCTCTGTTCTGTTCCATTGGTCTATATCTCTGTTTTGGTACCAGTACCATGCTGTTTTGGTTACTGTAGGCTTGTAGTACAGTTTGAAGTCAGGCAGCATGATGCCTCCAGCTTTGTTCTTTTGGCTTAGGATTGTCTTGGCAATGCGGGCTCTTTTTTGGTTCCATATGAATTTTAAAGTAGTTTTTTGCAATTCTGTGAAGAAAGTCATTGGTAGCTTGATGGGGATGGCACTGAATCTATAAATTACCTTGGGCAGTATGGCCATTTTCACGATATTTATTCTTCTTATCCATGAGCATGGAATGTTCTTCCATTTGTTTGTGTCCTCTTTTATTTAGTTGAGCAGTGGTTTGTAGTTCTCCTTGAAGAGGTCCTTCACATGCCTTGTAAGTTGGATTCCTAGGTATTCTGTTCTCTTTGAAGCAACTGTGAATGGGAGTTCACTCATGATTTGGCTCTCTGTTTGTCTGTTATTGGTGTATAAGAATGCTTGTGATTTTTTGCACATATGTAGAAAGCTAAAACTGGATCCTTTCTTTGCACCTCATACAAAAATTAATTCAAGATGGATTAAAGACTTAAATGTTAGACTTAAAACCATAAAAACCCTAGAAGAAAACCTAGGCAATACCATTCGGGACATAGGCATGGGCAAGGACTTCATGTCTAAAATACCAAAAGCAATGGCAACAAAAGTCAAAATTGACAAATGGGATCTGATTAAACTAAAGAGCTTCTGCACAGCAAAAGAAACTACCATCAGAGTCAACAGGCAACCTACAGAATGGGAGAAAATTTTTGCAATCTACTCATCTGACAAAGGGCTAATATCCAGAATCTACAAAGAACTCAAACAAATTTACAAGAAAAAAACAAACAACCCCATCCAAAAGTGGGCAAAGGATATGAACAGACACTTCTCAAAAGAAGACATTTATGCAGCCAACAGACACATGAAAAAATGCTCATCATCACTGGCCATCAGAGAAATGCAAATCAAAACCACAATGAGATACCATCTCACACCAGTTAGAATGGCAATCATTAAAAAGTCAGGAAACAACAGGTGCTAGAGAGGATGTGGAGAAATAGGAACACTTTTACACTGTTGGTGGGACTGTAAACGAGTTCAACCATTGTGGAAGACAGTGTGGTGATTCCTTAAGGATCTAGAACTAGAAATACTGTTTGACCCAGCCATCCCATTACTGGGTATATACCCAAAGGATTATAAATCATGCTGCTATAAAGACACATGCACACGTATGTTTATTGTGGCACTATTCACAATAGCAAAGACTTGGAACCAACCCAAATGTCCATCAATGATAGACTGGATGAAGAAAATGTGGCACATACACACCATGGAATACTATGCAGCCATAAAAAAGGATGAGTTCATGTCCTTTGTAGGGACATGGATGAAGCTGGAAACCATAATTCTCAGCAAACTATCACAAGCAGAAAAAAACCAAACACCACATGTTCTCACTCATAGGTGGGAATTGAACAATGAGAACACTTGGACACAGGAAGAGGAACATCACACACCGGGGGGAGGGGGGAGGGATAGCATTAGGAGATATGCATAATGTAAATGACGAGTTAATGGGTGCAGCACACCAACACGGCACATGTATACGTGTGTAACAAACCTGCACATTGTGCACATGTACCCTAGAACTTAAAGTATAATAAAAAATAAATAAATAAATAAATAAATAAAAAGAAGCTGAAGAGAAGGAGGAGGACTTGTGAACCAGAGATGCTCAGTCATTATTAGCGAGGAAATGCTAGAGAGCCCCTGTGTGCAGTGCTGACTACTTATGCAAAAGGTCACACAGCCAATATTTAACACAGCCAGTATTTCACACAGCCAATATTTATTAATGACATAGCATACATATACCAGTTATTACTCTAGGTCATAAGAATGGAGTGATAAATAAAATGAATCTGGTCGCCATCAGTATATGCCAGGTAACATTTTGCAGTGACTGTGTACCAGGCCTATGAATTTCAGTATGCAATTTCAATAATTATCCTGTTGTATCTGTGGTATTTAAAAAACATATACATCTCTGGAATCTAAAATTGAGAGGATATGAGTAAAACCCAGTGTTACAAATTTAGTGCTGGAAATCAGATTGCAGTTTAAATCTGAGCATGTAGAAAGTCCCTTTCTTCTATGTCAGCAGATGCCTTTTGTGTGAGGTTTAGGTATACTGCTTTATTAGACATAAACCAGTGTTTCTGCCCTATGTTTTCAGAATGACAATTCCTTATGAAACTAATAGAAGAACAGAAGACAATTGCAAAATCATGATGAAGATACTAATTGCTCTAGAATTCAGGAATACATAAAATGATGTGAGCTGCAGTTATAGGGATCATAAAAGTTAAAATGGGAATGCATTTGAGTGTTTATTATGTGATCAGTGCTAATAAGAGTCATCATTTAATTTTACACTTAACAGTAATCCTGTGAGGATTACGCTATTATTAAATGCATTTGATAGATTACAAAAAGGATTATGGTTGGTAAAAATTGCCCCAAGTAGAAGAGATCATGTTTTTTATTCAGGTTATCTGATTCTAGAGTTTGAGAGTTTGACCATCATTAGTGAGTAGTGACTATATTGTGTCTGAATTATTGACAGAATTTCTGATATTCAAATGTACCAGGTTGCTTCTTAGAGTGCAGACAGAGATGCAAGGGCTGCTAGTTCCGATGTATAGGAGAAACTTTCATTCATTTCACATTTATCATTTTAAAAGTTCTGTATGTCTATAATGGTCATGTGTTGAAGAACACAAGGAAGTATTAAATCACTCCTTCTTCTGAGGTTTGACTAGCAAGTTGGGCTAGAGTTACCAAATAAAATACATGTTCCTAGTTAAATCTGAATTTCAGATACACAACCATGATTTCTTGGAAATTCAAATTTACCTGGGCATCCTCTGGTTTTATTTGCCAAATCTGTCAACCCTAAGTGAGACACATGGACATGGATTACAGTGCTAGTCATGCAAACCACAGTGACAGCAACTTCACACATGTTTATTTTTTAACTTTCTGTCTGTAAAGAAAGTACTTAGATAATTTAGGGATAAAAAGATAGACATTGTTTGATCCAGGGTGCACACCTCTCTGCCATCATTTCTAAAGGGCAAAGGGACATTTCTGCAGGTCTTGCTCACAGTCTGGGGACCTGCTCGTTTTTGCAAACTGTCTGTATGAGTATGTCATTTTCTTGGTTTCTCCCTTTCTAAGGGGACTTGACTGCAAAACCAGGAGTTCTGCCTCTGGCCAAGGCTGGAAATTTGATGCCTGCTGGTATTGTTGGGAGTGGGAGACTGAAAGAAATGAGTTAGTTGGGGCATCAAATGGGAAATAAAATAGCTGTGGTTGTGATTCATTATTACAGAAAATTAGTGGACCAGTGGCAGAGAAATTAAAAAAAAAGATGATGTGAACGATAAACGATATGATTAGTGGCTACTTGGTAAGGCAAGGAAATCATTAAATCTTGGTTCTCATCAAGTTCATTTTCTGAAAAGATAGCACTGTATTGGGACCAGAATTCTACAAAACATTCTTTTTATGTAGGACCAAGATTTTCAACAAATATTTTTCAATGCAATTCTCAGCGCTCCATAACTAATAGTAGCTTGTTCAACACAGATTTTTTCGGATGGTTCACACCTGTAGTTCTTACCCAGGGATAGTTCACCACCCCTCCCTTCCCTCCCATCATCGTTGGTGAACGGTGGCAATGTTTGGAACAATTTTTGGTTGTCACAACAGGGGTTTCTTCTGATATTCAATGAGTAGAAGCCAGGGACACTGCTAAAGAACCTACAATATTCAGAACAGCCTCTGCTATCAACAAGGAATTATCTGGTCCAAAATGTCAATAGTGCTGAGGCTAAGAGCACTGGTTCACACTGTGCTCTTTCTGAAAATTCTAGGCTCACATCTTGTATACACTCACCACACAGTTCAGTTTTTTATGGTTTATTTTTGGTTGTTTCATTATAAAAAATTAGACAGTTACATAAATTCAACCATTTTCTTGTTGAATCCATTTAGTCAATGCAAGCTTAATATTTTCATATTTATTTTTTGCCTTATGCAATATTTTTCAACATTTTCATGAGTTGTTGGTCATCACTATCTCTATTAACTTTCAACAACTTGCTCTTGTAAGTCACAAATAGTGATGCTGCTGAAACTGTTTCTCACTAACAGGCCTCAGATTTGTGTAGTGATTCTACATTTTATATTATTCACATTGTAAAATGCTACTATTTATTCATTTCACTTTTACCCACAGGATTATTTTAAGTTATTTTTTGTCATTTTCACACTTCAAACATAAAGACAAAAACATCAAAAATATATACAGTGTTTTACATATGTGTATATTTTCACATATATCTGTATGTATGTTTATATGTATTGAAACTACAGAAGCACATGTCACCAATAAGAGCTCTGAGACACCTTTGACCACTTACCCTTATCAGATGATATTTGCCAAATGAGTTGTGGAAACAAGTTTTTTTTAACTGAATTTCAGAGCTTTGTGGATTTAGAAATGCAAAGGAAAGTTTGTGGACATTTACCGGGATCATGGTTTTATTCTCCTTAAAACTCTTCAATACTTTACCATTGTCTTTAGTTAAATCCAAAATCCTAACACCACCCACGAGGCTTTTCAATACCTGCCTTCTTGTGATTTCTCCAGCCTAATCTTTTACCTTCCTTCCCCTCAGCCTCTCTGCTTTAGTGAACTTTGTTCTAGTTTCTTGAAGAAGTTCATCAATTCAACCTTTTGTACATGGGATTTCCTAAACCTGAAAATGTGCCTCCCGTTTTGTCCAGACAGACACACAGGCTCCATCCACTCTGCCCCCTGGCTCTCACCTGCTTAACCTGTCAAGTCACATCTGAACTGTCACTCTTCAGAGGGTCCTTCTCTGGCACCCTAATGTAATTGAGATCATCCTTTTATTCTCTGTTCCAGAACTCCACACTTCTGACGTTTCTCATTCCTGTCTAAGCTCTTGTGTGTTTGGTTTTTGGCCATCACGTTCACTGCTCTTTAAGCTCCCCCAGCGGAGTGGAGAGGTCTGTTTTCCTTTGCTTGGATTCCTAGAGGCAGCGCAGGGCAGGCACAAGGTCAGCACTAAGGAAGGGTTCACAGGATGAACACGGTGGGTGCTGTTGAAGGAACCGGTAAAGCGTGTGGGATGAGAGGAGCAGAGAGTGTCTTTCAGGTGAAGACTCCCAGAAGGAGGCCGCGTGGGCCGCGGTGCTGGGCGGATCCTCCTCCAGCTCCTGCTTGGAGTTCTCCAGAACAGGCTGGAGGCAGGGAGGGGGTCCCCAAAAGCCTGAGGATCAGAAGGGGTTTTCCCGCCTGGTCCCCCAGACCCCGGTTCGCCTCAGGAAGACTGAGGACGAGCCCCTGGGCTGCTGGTGGTGGGCGTTGCGGGTGGGGCCGGTTAAGGTTCCCAGCGCCCGCACCCCGCCCAGGGAGCCCGGGTTGGTGGCGTCGCTGTCAGTGTCTTCTCAGGAGGCCGCCCGTGTGACCGGATCGTTCGTGTCCCCACAGCACGTTTCTTGGAGCAGGCTAAGTGTGAGTGTCATTTCCTCAATGGGACGGAGCGAGTGTGGAACCTGATCAGATACATCTATAACCAAGAGGAGTACGCGCGCTACAACAGTGACCTGGGGGAGTACCAGGCGGTGACGGAGCTGGGGCGGCCTGACGCTGAGTACTGGAACAGCCAGAAGGACCTCCTGGAGCGGAGGCGGGCCGAGGTGGACACCTACTGCAGATACAACTACGGGGTTGTGGAGAGCTTCACAGTGCAGCGGCGAGGTGAGCATGGTGGAGGGCGGGGCCTGGGTCCCTGTGAGCGGGGAATCTGTGTATGTGTGTGTGTGTGTGTGTGTGAGAGAGAGAGAGAGAGAGAGAGACAGACAGAGGAAGAGAGAGAGAGCGTGTGCCATCTGTGAGCATTTAGAATCCTCTCTATCCTTTCTTATGGCTGCGTAGTATTCCCTGGTGTATAGGTGCCACATTGTCTTAATCCAGTCTATCATTGATGGACATTAGGGTTAATTCCAAGTCTTTGCTATTGTGAATAGTGTCAGTTCATGTCCTTTGTAGGGACATGGATGCAGCTGGAAACCATCATTCTCAGCAAACTATCACAAGGACAGAAAACCAAACACCACTTGTTCTCACTCATAGGTGGGAATTGAACAATGAGAACACATGGACACAGGAAGGGGAACATCACACACAGGGGCCTGTCGTGGGGTGGGGGGAGCAGGGAGTGATAGCATTAGGAGATATACCTAATGTAAATGACTAGTTAATGGGTGCAGCATACCAACATGACACATGTGTACATATGTAACAAACCTGCACGTTGTGCACATGTATCCTAGAACTTAAAGTATAATAATAATAATTATATATATATATATATATATTAGAAAAACAAACAAAAAGAATCTTCTGTATCCTGAGCAAGGAGTTCTGAAGGCACAGGTGTGTGTAGAGTGTGGATTTGTCTGTGTGGCTGTTGTGGGAGGGGAAACAGGAGGGGGCTGCTTCTTATTCTTGGAGGCCTCTGTGCAGAGGTGACATGGGAGGTGGGTGTAGGGGGCTGGAGAGAGAGGAGACCTTGATTGTCCTGGGTCCTTAGAGATGCAGGGAAGGGAAGAATAAGGTGTGTGTGGTTGGGGTGAAGGTTTAGGGGAGGAGAGCTGAGGAGTGTGGAAGGTTTGGGATAATGTGAGGAGGCCAGTTCCAGACTGTCCCTGGCACACACCCTTCATGTAATCTCTGAAATAAAAGTGTGTGCTGTTTGTTTGTAAAAGCATTAGATTAATTTCTAGGGGAATTGAGGAGACCTCTGAGGCACCTCTGAAGCTTCTTTAGGTCTAAATTTCTTGCTAGTTTTTGTTTTTTTAGGGTGTATATTTTTACATAGCAGAAATGACTGTGAAACTAACTTTTTGAATTAAAGTTTTAACACAGTTACTATTTTATTATAATGCTAATAGTTTTCTAGTAGTTACATCTTATTCTTTTGTATATAATAGTTGTGACACAACTTACCTCACTTTCCCCTTTTTGTTGACCTTTATTATGACTTTCACCAAAAGTTGAAAATGTATGTTTCTGGTTAATTTTTACTTTATATTTTTCATTTGTAATTCTTTTGAATTATTTTGACCTATTTATTGGCCAATTATAATTACTGCTGTAAGAATTCCCTATTTCATTTGGTAGGGAATGTACAATGATCTACTGTCTAATATCTTAAGGGCTTAGTATTTTTCTCAGTGACTTTGTGGGTTCTTTGTACTGTAAGATTATTAACACTTTATTGATATTTGATTCAGCATTTTCTCCAGTTTGTGGTTTGTATGTGGATTTTGAAAAGTATTTTCCATGTTAAGAATTTGAACATTTTTATTTAATAAAATATATTGCGAAATATTAATTAATGATTTACAATCATCTTAAATCCACCATTTTGTGGTATTATTGTCTCCAGGTTTCTCCTTACTTCTAAAAAAAAACTGTATTTATTGAGTATGCTAGTGTCAGGGATTTTCCTGGGCATAAGCACCCCAAGTGACGAGTCCCAGACACTGCCTTAATCCAAATGTCATTCTGGAAAGAAAAATCATTTTACAATGATAGGCCTAATAATAATTAAGCTTGTGTTGCACAGGAGATACATTGATCAGCTAAATGTAAACGTAAGAACTTTCAAAACTAAAATGACATTCCTTAATCATTCTCTCTGCGTTAGGACTCATGCTTTTCTAGGAACGTAAAAATTTGAGAATCATTTCTGTCTGTCCCACCTTCCCAGGGGCAGAACCATTTCTGTGGTGTTCTAAGGTGTGAGTTCATGGTGGTAGTATTCCCAAAAATTCATACTCGGTTTCCTCATGTACCCAACTCTGTCCCTTTATCTACCCACATTGCTCTAAGTCATATTTTTCTGTCACGGTGTACAAGGATGATAAATAGGTGCCAAGTGGAGCACCCAAGTGTGATGAGCCCCCTCACAGTGGAATGGAGTGAGAAGCTTTCTAACCTCATAAATTGAAGGCTATCTTCAGTCATTGTTTTATATATTTTACGTGCATTAATCCTCATATAACCCCAAGAGGTAAATTAGTATAATTATCCTTCATTGTAGGTGACAAAGTTGAGACACAGAAGAATCAAAAAACTCTTCCAGCATCAACCAGTAAAAGGCAGACCTTGGATTTCAACCAGGCAACATGGCTCAGATATCAGTTTTAATTACTACACTCTACTGTCAAAGATTTGTAAACACTTTGACAATGCATGCCAATTTCAATCTATGAAGAAACAAACACAATTTTTCACAACATCTCTCAAATCTAATGGGTCCTCACTATCAAGATTAAATTCCAGGCTGATGACACTGTAAGGCCACATGGCCAGCTGTGCTGGAGGCCTGGTCAAGGTCAGAGCCTGGGTTTGCAGAGAAGCAGACAAACAGCCAAACAAGGAGACTTACTCTGTCTTCATGACTCATTCCCACTACCTTTTTTTTCTCCTAGTCCAACCTAAGGTGACTGTGTATCCTTCAAAGACCCAGCCCCTGCAGCACCACAACCTCCTGGTCTGCTCTGTGAATGGTTTCTATCCAGGCAGCATTGAAGTCAGGTGGTTCCGGAACAGCCAGGAAGAGAAGGCTGGGGTGGTGTCCACAGGCCTGATCCAGAATGGAGACTGGACCTTCCAGACCCTGGTGATGCTGGAAACAGTTCCTCGGAGTGGAGAGGTTTACACCTGCCAAGTGGAGCATCCAAGCATGATGAGCCCTCTCACGGTGCAATGGAGTTAGCAGCTTTCTGACTTCCTAAATTTCTCACCCACCAAGAAGGGGACTGTGCTAATCCCTGAGTGTCAGGTTTCTCCTCTCCCACATCCTATTTTCATTTGCTCCATGTTCTCATCTCCATCAGCACAGGTCACTGGGCTACTGGGGGTAGCCCTGTAGGTGTTTCTAGAAACACCTGTACCCCCTGGGGAATCAGTCACGCCTGCCAGGCAGGAGAGGCTGTCCCTCTTTTGAACCTCCCCATGATGTCCCAGTTCAGGGTCACCCACTCTCCCCAGGCTCCAGGCCCTGCCTCTGGGTCTGAGACTGCGTTTCTGGTGCTGTTGATCTGAGTTGTTTGTTGTGAGAAGAGGAGAACTCTAGGGGCCTTCCTGACATGAGGGGAGTCCAATCTCAGCTCTGCCTTTTATTAGCTCTGTCACTCTAGACAAACTACTTAACCTCACTGAGACTCAGGCTTTCTGTTGATCAGATTTTGAAGTTGCGCCTTACATCAAGGCTGTAATATTTGAAATGAGTTTGATGCCTGGACCTTGTAACTGTTACAGTGTGATTTGAAAACCGTTTTTTCCCCCAGAAATGGCTAGTTATTTTAGTTCTTACAGGGCAGCCTTCTTTCCCATTTTGAAAGCTCTGAATCTTAGGGTCTCAATTACAGAGGTTCAATTTGGAATAAACACTAAACCTGGCTTCCTCTCTCAGGTGCACGGTCTGAATCTGCACAGAGCAAGATGCTGAGTGGAGTCGGGGGCTTTGTGCTGGGCCTGCTCTTCCTTGGGACAGGGCTGTTCATCTACTTCAGGAATCAGAAAGGTGAGGAGCTTTTGGGAGCTGAATCTCCATAGGCTTTTCTGGAGGAGGAACTATGACTTTGCTAGGGTTAGTTCTCAGTATATCAGTGGCCCTGGATAAAGCCTTTCTTTCCCCAAATGACCTCCAATGTCCTGATAATCCAGAAATCATCAGTGCATGGTTACTATGTCAAAGCATAATAGCTTGTGGCCTGCAGAGATAAGAGAAAGGTTAACAAGTAGGGATTCTTTGGTTGGAGATCCTGGAGCAAATTAAGGAAGAGCCACTAAGGCTAATGCAATTACGCTGGATCCTGTGACAGACACCTCATGCTTCATGGGTCACATGGTCTGTTTCTGTTCCTCTCTGCCCTGGTTGGTGTGGGTTGTGGTGTTAGAGAAATCTCAGGTGGGAGATCTGGGGCTGGGACATTGTGTTAGAAGACAGATTTGCTTCCATATCTTTTAAGTGTATATCTTTTCCTCTTTTTCCCAGGACACTCTGGACTTCAGCCAACAGGTAATACCTTTTAATCCTCTTTCAGAAAGAGATTCAGTTTCCCTAGAATGATGGCAGAGGTCATAAGGCATGAGACAGAAATAATAGGAAAGACTTTGGATCCAGATTTCTGATCAGGCAATTTACCCCAGAACTCCTCCTCTCCACTTAGAAAAGGCCTGTGCTTTGCAGGATCATTGGCTCAGGGAGACTTAGGAACTTGTTTTTCTTCTCCCTGCAGTGCTCTCATCTGAGTCGTTGAAAGCGGGGAAAAGAAGTTTTAGTAAAGCCAGGTCTGAAAACAATTTCCTCTGTCTCTGCAGGACTCTTGAGCTGAAGTGCAGATGACCACATTCAAGGAAGAACCTTCTGCCCCAGCTTTGCAAGATGAAAAGCTTTCCCACTTGGCTCTTATTCTTCCACAAGAGCTTTGTCAGGACCAGGTTGTTACTGGTTCAGCAACTCTGCAGAAAATGTCCTCCCTTGTGGCTTCCTTAGCTCCTGTTCTTGGCCTGAAGCCTCACAGCTTTGATGGCAGTGCCTCATCTTCAACTTTTGTGCTTCCCTTTACCTAAACTGTCCTGCCTCCCATGCATCTGTACCCCCCTTGTGCCACACATTGCATTATTAAATGTTTCTCAAACATGGAGTTAAAAATTATCTGGTCCATTTGGCTGCAAGGACAAAAAATAAGAAAAAGGGAAGATTATTTCCCAATAGAATAATGGTTTTCATGTATATATAATAAGTATATGAGGTAAATGCATGTTAAATAGCTTGATTTAGACATTCCACACTATAGGCATATATCAAAACCTCATGCTCTACAACATAAATATACTATACAATTTTTACTTGTCAATTAAAAAAGTAAACCTAACATTCAAAAAGGCAATGTATAAAAATTGAGAACAGACTATAACAACTGAAACAAACTTGGCAAACATGAGATGAGAAACCAGCCAGCAAGTCAATCAGAACTTTTTCTTAACCCCGTCTACAATATTGTGAATCTGTACCTTTAAATTAGTATATGGTTTTTCATTCCAGAGACTTCAATTATATAGTATTACCAAAGGACCTGTACAGATTTCAGAGAAAGACAAATTTAGAAGATAGAGGGTTCTCCATTGTGTTCTGAGAGTCAGCATCAAATATGTCAAATCTGAAAGTACATAATGAATTCAAAAGTTTACTTCAAAGTAATAATCATTTGAACGTAATTTATCTGTCAGAGACAACTGTTATTTTATTTTCAATCAAATTCAATGTTTATTTTATGCATATTTTGTTTTTAGTTATGTATTATTGTACATACATAGCAGTACATGTATGTATATATCCTATAAGAATATAAATCCTATAGGATTATATTAAGCTGATAATTATGTCTATTCTGTTTGATCCCAGAGTTGCAACAAATACGCTTTGTTCCTTAAGTTGAGGAAATGATTTGTCTCATTTTATATGAGACTTGTGGTGTGGAATTCTAAGGTAGAACTAAAATGTGTGGGATGAATATTTGAATGAAGATGCCTTCTGCTGCAAATAGCAGGAAATCCCATCTAGTGGGCTTTTCTTTTCTTTAACCCATTATCTCACATAGCCGATAGATCCGAGGCTGGGCGTCTCCAGGGTTGCTCAACTCAGCAGGCCAGTGTCATCACCAGCGATCCTGGAACTTCATAGCTCATCTCTCTATCACACACAGCACGTCAGCTTTCCTGAGATGGTAGGAGGACCCCTGCAGCAGCTTTAGGTTTCTTATTCTTTCACAACTCCCAAAGGCAGGAAAAGGATATGACTTTTTCCTGTGTGTCTTTATAAGAATCAACTAAACAGTTTCTAGAGTGTTCCCAGTACCCACTTACTCAAACAATGGAATGACCGTGGGATCACATGGGCTCAGACAAGCCAGGATTCAACCTTTGTAGAGTGGGCCTGATGCACATGGGAAGAAAAGGAGCAAAATCATATATTTTTAAAATAAAGAAATGGTGGATGGAGTAGGAGAGATTGATTTCAGGGTAGGAAAATGAAAGATTGTGGTATTATTAGGTTGTTAGTATTTGTAGTTAAATTCCACATGAAGGCCTAGAGATTCCCAATAGGCATCCTCAATTCAGGGTTTCTGGGTCTTTTTAAATACATATCTATTTATTATACATATATTTAAATATATATATTTTAAAAACATAAATATATATAATATACATACATTGAGTATTAAATGTCAGCCATTAACTCAATTACAATAAAACAAAAAAGCAAGTAAAAAGGATTGTTTTTAGAACTCAAGTATGCTGACATGTTATTTTATGAGGTAAATATATTTTCTAGGGAAATTTTTGAAAAAAAGCAGAATAAGGAATGACTAGCTCTATAAGGTGCTGTTTTAAAACACACTATACATTTATTTTTAAAAAGGCATTTGTTACTGATTTTCTTTTTCATTAAATACTAGTAAAACAGAGTCTAGAATTTAGAAAGAGTTGAGATTTAGTTTCAGTTTTTGGTAAGTTGTATTCCAAACTCATTTTTTTCACTAAATAGATGCTGGATAAATAAAAATTGAAACATAAAGAGAAAATATAAAATTAACAAGACAGATGTTATTTATTTATTTTTCTTTTTTGAGACGGGGTCTCGCTCTGTTGTCCAGGCTGAAGTGCAGTGGTGTATTCCCTGCTCCGCACAACCTTCGACTCCTGGGTTCAAGCGATTCTCCTGCCTCACCCTACCGAGTAGCTGCGACTACAGGTGCATGCCACTGTGCCTGGCTAATTTTTACGTTTTTAGCAGAGACAGGGTTTCACTGTGTTGGGCAGGCTGGTCTCGAACTCCTGACCTCGTGATCTGCCTGCTTTGGCCTCCCAAAGTGCTGGGACCACAGGCATGAGCCACCGTGTTTAGCTGACAGATGTTATTTCTAATAGTATCATCAACATTATAATTATGTTTGAAGACAAACGGACTTTCTAAACCCTTATGTAGTGCTGGTGGGAGTGTATAATTTTACAAATACCTGGAAATTGGCAATTTCCTAAAAAGTTTAACATACGTTTACCATATGACCCAGCAGTTTCACTCCTTGGAATCTACCTAAGAGACATAAAAACATATGTCCTCACAAAGATATGTGTTTGAGTGTTCAGAACAGCATTAGCCATAGTAGGCCCATACTGAAAACAATCCAAATATCCTTCAACTAGTAAATGGATAAACAAAATGGTACTACGTCCATGCAAGGCAGTATCATTCAACAATAAAAGGGGACAAAAATAGACTTATCTGACAGGGGAGATACCATGAACATGAGGATAGTTTTCCCAAGGCAAGTTTCAACGCTTGCACTGCGGATGATGAGAGATTACTTAATGGGTACAATGCATGTGAATTGGGTGATGGATACTGCAGAAACACCGACTTCACCACTATGCAATCTATGCAGGTAACAAAACTACACTTGTACCTTATAAATTTACACAAATGAAAGAAGATAACATGAATAAAAAGGAATGAAAAGAAAAGAAACAAAATTGATGATACATACTACAAAACTGGTGAACTTCAATAATGTTAACTAAGTGAAGGAAACTGGACACAAAAGATTACATGTTGTATGATTTCCTTTACTTAAAATACCTAGAAGAGGTAAATTATAGACACAAACAGCAGATCATTGGGTGCCTAGGACTTGGGGTATCGGTGGGAATTAACTATAAACAGAAATTTTGGATATGATAGAAATGTTATAAAACTGGATTGTTGTAATAATTGCACAAATCCATTAATTTACTAAAATCATTAAATTTTATATATACAATGAGTAAATTTTGCAGTATGTAAAGTATGCTTCAGTAAACCTGTTAAAATAATTCTTTTTTTAAAAATAAGACATTGTGGCTGGGTGTGGTGGCTCACGTCTGTAATCCCAGAACTTTGGGAGGCCAAGGCGGGTGGATCACGAGGTCAGGAGTTGAAGACCAGCCTGGCCAAGATGGTGAAACCCCGTCTCTACTAAAAATACAAAAACATTAGCAGGGCATGGTGGCAGGTGCCTGTAATCCTAGCTACTTGGGAGGCTGAGGCAGAGAATGGCATGAACCCGGGAGGTGGAGATTGCAGTGAGCCGAGATCGCACCACTGCACTCCAGCCTGGGCAACAGAGTGAGACTCAGCCTAAAAAAAAAAAAAAAAAACAGGGCTGTGCATGGTGGCTCACGCCTGTAGTACCAGCACTTTGGGAGGCTGAGGTGGGCAGATCACGTGGTCAAGAGTTCAAGACCAGCCTGGCCAACATAGTGAAACCCTGCCTCTACTAAAAATACAAAAATTAGCCGGACGTGGTGGTGCATGCCTGTAATCCCAGCTACTCAAGAGGCTGAGGCAGGAGAATCGCTTGTGAGCGGGAGGCGGTGGCTATGGGGAGCCAAGATCACACCATTGCACCCCAGCCTGGGAGACAGAGCAAGACTCTGTCTCAAAAACAAAAAACAACCACAACAAAAAAACAAAGAGGTGAGGAAATTGATAAAATTATTTTCTTGGTTTTGTTTTCTATTTGTTTATGGTAGAACATTATTGTGTTAGTCCATTCTTACATTGCTAAAAAGAAATACCTGAGGCTGGGTAATTCATAAAGAAAAGAGGTTTAACTGGCTCAGGGTTTTGCAGGCTGTACAGGAGGTGTGGTGCTGGCAATTGTTTCTGGTGAGGGCCTCAGGAAGCTAACAATCATGGGGGAAGGAAAGGGGAGCCCAGGTATCACATGGTGAGAGCAGGAGCACAGAGAAAGTGGGGAAGAGTCGCACTCTTTTAAACAACCAGATCTCCTGTGAACTGAGTGAGAACTCACACATTACAGCTAAGATGGCACCAAGCCATCGATGAAGGATCTGCCGCCCACCAAAATATCTCTCGCCAGGCCTCACCTCCAACACTGGAGGCTATGTTTCAACACGAGATTTGGACGGGACATACATCCAAACTATATCAATAACATAATTGCTTTAATGTATACTGACTTCGTAATCAGCAACAGTATTTAAATTCACTTATTAAAACTATGAGTTTGTTTACTAATTTTATTTTCTAAGTAGCTGATTATGTTGAGAGTAAATAATGACCATTTCACCTGGATGCAATTATCATCTCTTTTATTTATTTTTCTTGCCGTTTTCATTGCCTAACTCCTCTAGTACTCCAGATATGAAGGAGACAGTTTTAAATATTTCACTGCTGAGACTAATATGTGCAATAAGGTAGCTATCATTTCTCAGACTGAAGAAATAACTTTTTAATACGAGTTTGCAAATAGATTTTTAAAAAATTAAGGCCAAGTGCTGAATTCTGTCAAATCATATTTCAAGACTCTATCCAGGTGGTTGCATGTGTATTCTCCTTCCTTCAGTTAATGTCGTGAATCACACTAATGGATTCTCAAATGCTCAAACAACCTTGCATTTCTGGAATAAACTCCACTTGGTCATGATGTAGTAGCCATCTTTTATATCAATGAATTCAGTTGGCTATTATTTTCTTAAGAACTTGGCTCATAAGAATTATTGGTCCATAAATTCCTATCTGTTGTAGAGTTCTTTTCAGATCTTGAAGTAAATTTTACACAGATCTCATCAAACCAAACTGCAAGTGTTTTCCGCTTTTTCAAATGTTTGAAGTTTGCATAAAGTTAGTGTTGTTTGTTCCTTAAATATTTTAAAATATTTACTGAAGCTAAATGAACCTGGGGTTTCGTCTTGGGTAAGCTTTATAGAATGGGCTTTCTCTATGAGATGTGGAACTCTTCATACTTTATGTTATTTGTTAGCTTCAGTACATTGCACATTTTGAGTAATTTATTAATTACATGCAAATTTGTTTTTGTAAAGTTATTCATAATATTCAGTATTATTTCATGATGATAAATCTGTAAGACTATAACAAAAGATATGAAATTTGTGTCACTAGAGTCTTAGAGAAAGATGACAAATGGGTGATGCCCAAAGAGTCTTTGAAGGAAGATTGACTATTTTCCAAATTTGGATAAAGACTTTAAAGTAAAAATTCAAGAATCTGTGCAAATCTAAAGGAAGATGAATCCAAAGAAATTTATGTCAAAAAATCTTGATAGCAACAAGAGAGAAATGACATCTCATGTACAGGAGAAAATAAAGGACAGTGTATTCCTCATTAGAAATCATGCAGACCAGACAGAAGTGCCACAAGATATTTTAATGGCTGAAAGTAATGTTAACCTAGAATGTATATCCAGAAAAATATTATTATAAAATGAAGGTTCTATCATGACATTCTTTTTTTTCTTTTCTTTTTTTTTGTTTTTTAGATGGAGTCTTGCTCTGTCACCCAAGCTGGAGGGCAGTGGCACAACCATGGCTCACTGCAGCCTCTGCCTCTCAGGCTCATGTGATCCTCACACCTCTGCCTCCTGAGTAGCTGGAATTACAGACACACACCACCAAGCCTGGCTAACTTTTTGTATTTTTGGCAGAGACAAGGTTTTGCCATGATGCCCAAGCTGGTCTCAAACTCCTGAGCTTAGGGGATGCGCCTGCCTTGGCCTTCAAAAGTGCTGGGATTACAGGTGTGAGCCACCGTGCCCGGCCATGACATTCTTAGAGGAAGGAAAATCAAGAGAATTTGATGCTAGCAGACTTATCCTAAAACAAGGGTAAAGGAAGTGCTTGAACTGGAATAGAAATGATAAGGGAAGAAATCTTGGACAATCAGGAAAAAAAGAAACTATAGAATGAGTAAAAATATGGGTCAATACAACAGACTTCTCTTCTTCAGTTTTATAAATTAGTTTGATGGTTGAGGCAAAAATTACAACATTGTCACATCTGCAAGTAGAGAAAATAAAAAATATATATTATAAATGCAGGAGCAAAAGGGATAAAAAGGTAAAGTTTTTACACTGCAGTCAAATTGAAAAAAATCTCAGCACAAGTAGACTATAAGTTACGTTAATAGATAAATCACAAAAACTCTACAATGAGATACACCAAAAAATGATTGATTAAAAAATGGAATTCTAAATATTGCTTAAGGGACACATCAAAAAACAGGGCAAGAAAACAGAGAAGCAAAAACCAGAGGAAACAAAAAGCAAATGGCAGTCATGAGAGCTCACATATTAATAATTGCATTACATTAAATTGTCTAAAAAGACAAAATGTCAGAGTGAAAAATAATTACCCATCGATATGCTACCTATGAGAAACTTACTGCAAATATTACAAGAGTGGAAGGCTGAAACAGAAGAATGGAAAAAAATAAACCATACTAACTGTTGTCAAAGAAAGCAGAAATGGCTATAATATCAGATAACATAAAATGCACAGAGCAAAGAATATTCTGAGAGACAAATGGAAACACTACATAATCATAAAAATGTTAATTCAGGAAGAAGACATAGCAACTCTAAAAGTGTGTACACCACACAACTAAGTTACTTATAAGTAGAGCAAAAAACGGTCAGAACTGGAAGGAGAAATATACAAATACACAGTTAAACTTTGGGACTCCACAAACCAACTCTGAAAAGTTAATAAAACAACTGGACAAAAACTCAGCAAGATAATGAAACCCAACAAAACTATCCACCAATAAGATCTAATGGACATTTGCAGACCACCACACCAAACAGAAGAATACACATTTTTTAACTCTCCATGGAATATTTACCAACATCTCTCATACCCTGGACCATAAAAGGAACCTCAACAAATGTAAAGAATTGAAATCATACAGACTGTGCTCCCTGGAAACAACGGAGCTGAACCAGAAATCAGTAACATGAAGAAAATCAGTATAACTCCAAACACATGGAAACTTAGTAACATACTTTTAAATTACCCTTGGATCAAAAAAGATGTCTTGGCACTCCAGCATGGATGACAGAGTGAGACTCCGTCTCAAAAAAAAAAAAAAAAAAAAAAAAAAAAAAAGGCCTGGTGAGGTGGCTCACGCCTGTAATCCCAGAACTTTGGGAGGCCGAAGTGGGTGGATCACGAGGTCAAGAGATCGAGACCATCCTGGCCAATATGGTGAAACCCCGTCTCTACTAAAAATACAAAAAAATAGCGGGCGTGGTGGCAGGCGCCTGTAGTCCCAGCTATTCGGGAGGCTGAGGCAGGAGAATCACTTGAACCCGGAAGGCAGAGCTTGTCTGACATCGCGCCACTGCACTCCAGCCAGAGATGCCACACGGTGGCTCACGCCTGTAATTCCAGCACTTTGGGAGGCCGAGGCAGGCGGATCACGAAGTCAGGAGATTGAGACCATCCTGGCTAACACGGTGAAACCCCGTCTCTACTAAAAATACAAAAAAAATTAGCTGGGCGTGGTGGCGGGCACCTGTAGTCCCAGCTACTCGGGAGGCTGAGGCAGGAGAATGGAGTAAACCTGGAAGGCAGAGCTTGCAGTGAGCTGAGATCACGCCACTACACTCCAGCCTGGGCGACAGTGCAAGACTCCGTCTCAAAAAAAAAGATGTCTTAAGGAAAATAAAAAGTATGTTCAACTAACTGATAATGAAAATACAACATATCAAAATGTTTGGCACATAGCTAAAGGCGTGCTTTGAAGTACTATGCGTAGTACAAAATGTATACACTGAAAAAGAGAAAACTTCAGAAACCAGTAATCTCAGTTCCCACCTCAAAAATCTAGAAAAGTTGTCAAAAATAACCTAAAGCAAGAAGAAGAAGGAAAAAAAAAACTAATATAAAGGCAGAACTCAATGGCTCATGCCTGTAATCCCAGCACTTTGCAAGGCTGAAGCGGGCGGATCACCTGAGGTCGGGAGTTTGAGCCTGACCAACACGGAGAAACCCCATCTCTACTAAAAATACAAAATTAGCCGAGCATGGTGGCGCATTCCTGTAATCCCAGCTACTCGGGAGGCTGAGGCAGGAGAATCACTTGAACCTGGGAGGCGGGGGTTGCAGTGAGCCGAGATCGCGCCATTGCCCTCCAGCCTGGGCAACAAGAGCAAAAACTCCAACTCAAAAAGAAAAAAAAAAAAAGAGAGAGAGAGAGAGAGAAAATCAGTGGGAAAAAAAGTTTGTTCTTTAAAAATATTAATAGAACTGACAAATTTCTAGGACAAAATAAAAGGAAAAAGGAGAAAGAAAAAACACCAATATTGGGGTGGAAACATTATATCACTACAGATTCTTTGACATCAATAGTACACCAAAGGAATACACCAAGAACACTTAGGTGAAATGGAAAAGAATCCTTTAAAAGTACACAAATACACACTATTACAACTAACTCAATATGAAATAGATACATTGAAAAGCTCTATAATTATAAAAAGAGTTGAACTTACAGGAGAAATCTCTAGGTTAGAATAGTTTCACAGGAGAAATCTACCAAACATTTCAGTAGAATTAACACAACTCTGCAAAGTTTCCTCCAGAAAGCAGAAGAGAGGGGAAGACATCCCAACTTACTTTATGAGGCCAGCATTTCCTAAAATCAAAAGCACACAAAAATAGTACAGCAAAAGAAAATTAAAAAGCAATATACCTGCATGACTATACATGCAAAACTCCCTAACAAAATGTTAGCAAGTAAAAAATCAGCCAAACTAAAAATATATGTAAACTATGCCAAGTAGCGTTTATTTTAGGGATGCAAGTCTGGTTTAATGTTTGAAATCAATCAATGTCATCCATCTTATTAAGAAGCTAAAGAGGCCGGGCGCGGTGGCTCACGCCTGTAATCCCAGCACTTTGGGAGGCCGAGGCGGGCGGATCACGAGGTCAGGAGATCGAGACCATCCCAGCTAAAACGGTGAAACCCCGTCTCTACTAAAAATACAAAAAATTAGCCGGGCGTAGTGGCGGGCGCCTGTAGTCCCAGCTACTTGGGAGGCTGAGGCAGGAGAATGGCGTGAACCCGGGAGGCGGAGCTTGCAGTGAGCCGAGATCCCGCCACTGCACTCCAGCCTGGGCGACAGAGCGAGACTCCGTCTCAAAAAAAAAAAAAAAAAAAAAAAAAAAAGAAGCTAAAGAAGAAACATCGCATGGTTCTATCAGTTGATGTAGAGAAGGCCTTTGACATAATTCTACATTAATTTATGATTTATAAAAGCCCCTCAAAATAGTAGGAACTGAGGATGACCTCCTCAACTGGATAAATAACTTATACAAAAATGTTGCGGCTAAATTACACTTAATAGTGGAAGTCTGAATGCTTTTCCTCTTCTGTTTCAGCTACTAAGGAAATTCACAAGGTCACAGAATTCAAGATCAACAAAAAAATTAATTTTATTTGAATATACAGTAATAAAGAAATCAAAACAAATACTAAAAATACAACATGAATTATTTCCATTCAAAAAACCTCATAAGTATACCAACAGAACATGTACACAATCCATATGCTGAAATGCTGAGCCATAAAAAATGATGAGTTCACGTCCTTTGTAGGGACATGGATGAAATTGGAAATCATCATTCTCAGTAAACTATCGCAAGAACAAAAAACCAAACACCGCATATTCTCACTCATAGGTGGGAATTGAACAATGAGATCACATGGACACAGGAAGGGGAATATCACACTCTGGGGACTGTTGTGGGGCGGGGGGAGGGGGGCGGGGTAGCATTGGGAGATATACCTAATGCTAGATGACCAGTTAGTGGGTGCAGCGCACCAGCATGGCACATGTATACATATGTAACTAACCTGCACAATGTGCACATGTACCCTAAAACTTAAAGTATAAAAAGAAAAAGAAATAAAAAAATCTGAAGAAATGAAGAGATTTACTGTGTTCATCAACTAGAAAACTAAATATAGTAAAGACGTCAATTCTCCCCACTTTGATGTCCAGGTTTAACACAATTTCTCTCTAAATTCCAGCAAGATTTGTAATAGTTGTAGACAAAGTTATTCTAAAATGCATATGGAGAACCAAGGGAACTAGTATAGGTAAAACAAATTTCATAGGGAAAAAGAGATGAAGGAACTCTTACCAAATTTCAGAATTTTTATAGCTATAGTAATCAATACTGATTGACATTAGTGCAGGGATAGACATAGATTAGTGGAGCAGCATAGAGAATCCAGAAATACACCTATACGAACTCATTTTGACAAAGATGCAAAATAATTCAATGGAGGTAATATAGGCTATAGTCTTTTCAAACAATGGTCCAGGAGAAAGTGGAAATTCATAGACAAAAACAAAAAAGAAGCAAAAGGAAAAAGAAGCAAGAAAGAAACTTAACAAATTCTCAGACCTTATGAAAACATTTATCCCAATTAAATCATGTCTACATGTAAAACGTTTAGAAGAAAACATAAGAAACATCATCAGAAGCTAGGGCCTGCTGTCTGAGTTCTGAGTTCTTAGACACGACATCAAAAGCACTATGTGTAAAAAACAAAAAGACAAAAACAAAAACAAAAAAAATCAATAAATAAGGTTTCTTCTGTAAAGTATCCTGTTAAGAAATAAAAAGTAAGTTAGAGATATGGAGAAAATATTTAAAACCACATATATTACCAAGAATACATTGTTGAAAATATGTAATGAACTATAAAAGCTCTTCTATAAAATATATAGTAGAGTGCAGACTATAAAATTTAATTATGGCCGGGCATGGTGGCTCACTCCTGTAATCCCAGCACTCTGGGAGGCCGAGGTGGGCGGATCACGAGGTCAGGAGATGGAGACCATCCTGGCTAACATGGTGAAACCCCGTCTCTACTAAAAATGCAAAAAAAAAAAAAATTAGCCGGGTGTTGTGGCAGGCGCCTGTAGTCCCAGCTACTCAGGAGGCTGAGGCAGGAGAATGGCATGAACCTGGGATGCAGAGTTTGCAGTGAGCTGAGATTGTGCCACTGCACTCCAGTCTGGGTGGCAGAGCGAGACTCTGTCTCAAAAAAAAAAATTGTTAATTACAAAATGGGCAAAAGATATGAAGAGACATTTTATCAAAGAGGATATATATACATGGCAAATAAGCGCAATGAATGACATGCAAATCAGTAGCCATCAGGGAAATGCAAATTAAGAACTTGGTATAATAGCACTATACAACTCCTAATACAGCTAAAATCTCTAAAAAATCTGACAATGGTAAATGCTGGTGAGAATGCAGAAAAATTGAATTTCTCATACACTGATGGTGAGAATGTAAAATGGGACAGTCCTTCTGTGTCCGGAATTTATTCCTTCCGGTGGGTTCTTGGTCTCGCTGACTTCAAGAATGAAGCCACAGACCTTCGCGGTGAATGTTACAGCTCTTAAAGATGGTGTGTCCAGAGTTTGTTCCTTCAGATGTTCAGATGTGTCCGGAGTTTCTTCCTTCTGGTGGATTCGTAGTCTCGCTGACTTCAGGAGTGAAGCTGCAGACTTTCGCAGTGAGCGTTACAGCTCTTAAAGGTGGCACGTCTGGAGCTGTTTGTTCCTCCCGATGGGTTCGTGGTCTTGCTGCCTTCAGGAATGAAGCCGCAGACCCTCAGGGTGAGTATTACAGCTCATAAAGGTAGTCTGAACCCAAAGAGTAAGCGGCAGCAAGATTTATTGTGAAGAGTGAAAGAACAAAGCTTCCACAGCGTGGAAGTGGACCTGAGCCAGTTGCCACTGCCGGCTTGGGTGGCCAGCTTTTATTTCCTTATTTGGCCCTGCCCGCATCCTACTGATTAGTCCATTTTACAGCGTGCTGATTGGTCCATTTTACAGAGTGTTGATTGGTGCATTTACAATCATTTAGCTAGACACAGAGCACTGATTGGTGCATTTTTACACAGTGCTGATTGGTGCATTTACAGTCCTTTAGCTAGACACAGAGTGCTGATTGATGCATTTATAATCCTCTAGCTAAACAGAAAAGTTCTCCAAGTCCCCACCTGACCCAGAAGCCCAGCTGACTTCACCTCTCAATCCCCGCTCTAAACAGGACATGGCAACTGCTGTTGGGAATTGGGCAATGACCACTCTAGCTACTTCCTGCTGGATAGGGGTGAAGAAGGGGCCTTGCAGTTGTAGTGTCCTCCAGAGAGAAGCTCTTTAGGCCAGTAAAAGGGTCAGTGACTCATTTCAGGGGTCCTTGGTAGAAGTTGTTAGCTGAGCTCATTTGGGGTTCCCTTTGTAAGACCATCTGTAGCTTGTTGGCCTTGATCCTAGAGTAAACAAATTTGACAAGGAGGTTAAAACTACAGGGCCCAAAGGCGAGTAATAGTAAGATGGCTGTCACAGGACCTAGAAAGGGGAGAAGCCATGTCGCCCAACTCCAGAGTTTGGTATAAGAGTTTGAAAGGCATTGTCTGATTTCAGAAGCCTTTTCCTGTAAACGCTGGGCGGCATCTCATACTATCCCTGACTGGTTAGTGTAAAAACAACACTCTTCCCCTAAGAAGATGCAGAGTCCTTCTTTCTCAGCAGTGAGGAGGTCTAGGCCTCGGCGGTTTTGAAGAGTCACTGCTGCCAAAGAGTCTATTTGGGATTGTAGAGTAAGGATAGATTATGTTATTACTGCAAACTGCCTGAGAAATCCTTTGAGAGTGTGTGGTAGTAGGATAATGAAGTAGATAAACTGGCTATTCTGCTTCCTGTAGCAGTAGCCATTCCTAACCCTGTAAGTAGAGGTATTAGTTGTATGGATGTTAATAATAAAAGAAACTGAACAGAGGGCCATTTTAGGGAAGGAGATATGTGGGAACTCCCTAAACTTTCTCTGGAAGTTTTTCATACACTTGAAACTGCTTTAAAAATGGTCTTGTTATATGGGAGGATATGGACTTACTTTTGCTTTTCATTCCATACTTGTCTGAGTTTGAGTGTATTCTCTATTGTTCACCTATTTGTTTTATATTAAAATTGTAGATATGTTAGCAAACACTTAATTCTATTTGCAACATTCTCAAGAGTCTGCTTTCTCTAAACCATAGGTAAAGAAACTTATTTATTCATTAAGTTTTACAAGGTTATGCCACCTTGGTTTGTGCTTATTTTGCTTTTCTAGGATTTTTATCACTAGGCTGTAGAAATTTTGAGGAAAACAATTCCACAACCGATCCAAGGCCGAAATGAAGTTACAAAGCTACACTCCTATGCAAACATCTGATTGGTTGCAAAAAAACAACCAATCAGAGGTACTCTCAATTTCCCATTTGTCAAGCAGTAAAGGGGGTGTGTTACAAAGGGAGTAGTCTCTGGTCCTTTTGCTACTTAGGCATAGAAAGTTTGAGTTTTCCTCTCAATTTAGTTCCATTCGGGAGTCGACATGAAATGGCCTTAGGTTCCCTGCCTCCAGACCCTATTCTACTGGCTTATCTGGAAGACACTCTGGCTGTTTCTTACAAAGCGAAACATACTCTACCATAAGATTCAGCAATTGCAATCCTAAGTATTTGCCCAAATAAGTGGAAAACTTCTGTCCACACAAACAAGTATACACGAATGTTTATAGCAGCTTTCTTTATAATTGCCAAAAATTCAAAGCAACGAAGATGTTCTCCAGTAAGTGAGTGGATAAACAAATTGTGGTAGATCCATACCATGGGTTGTTATTCAACATTAAAGAGAAATAAGCTATCCAGCTAGGAAAAGACAGGAGAAAACCTATATGCATATTGTTATGTGAAAGAAGCCAGTCTGAAAAAAACTATATACCATATGATTACAACTGTATAACATTCTGGAAAAGGCATAAATACAGTGACAGTAAATAGTGGTTTCCAGGGATTCAGGCGGAAGAGGAGTGCATGAGTAGGTGGAGCCTGGGACAATTTTAGGTCAGCGAAACTACTTCACAGGATAATTTTGTCACTGAAACACCAGGGTTCAGTCTAGGTCTTGCACACAAGGGCTTCAGTCTGGGTCTTGCTGCTCACCACACAGAAAGCCAATCACTGAGATGACAATGAGTATTGCCAAAGAAGAAGGCTTTAATCTTTAATCAGGTGCTGAAGCTGAGGAGATGGGAGACCAGTGTCAAATCCATCTCTGTGACTGACTAAAATTAGGAATTTATCTAGCATGGAAGAAATGTAACTATGTATGAGAAAACAGGAACTGGGGGGGGGGGGGTAAGGGAACAATCATGATGAATGAGGAACCTGGAGTCTCGTTGTCTGGATGAGATGATCTGGTGAGTTCCAGTTCTTTGACACTTTTTGAGAGCCCTGGGGGAATCTTTTTTTGGAAAGGAACTCAGATAAAACAAATGTAAGTTTCAAGCTTTAAGACCACAAGTGTCCATTTCTATGTTTATTTAAAAAAAAAACTGCCTATGGGACTCTTGGGTCACTTCCACTAAATGGTGGATATATGACATTATGTATTTATCAGAACCCATAGAACTGTATAATAAGAATGATCTCTAATTTCACTATGGATCTCAGTTAACAACAAGTATCAGTATTGCTTCATCAGTAGTAACAAGTGTACCACACTGATGCAGGATGTTAATAGTAGGAGAAACTGAGCAGAGGGGTGCTTTAGGGAAGAAGGGCTGTGGGGACTCCATGAACTTTCTCTGCAATTTTTCTGTCCACTTAAAACTACTTTAAAAAAATGGTCTTGTTACATGGAATGATATGGATTTATTTTTGCTTTTTCATTCCATCTTTGTAGGCATTTGACTACATTCTCTGTTGCTCATCTACACCCTGTTCGTGTTACAGCTTTTTTAGCCTCATCATTAGGCAGATTCCCAGTTCTTGTCCTGCGTCCAGGAAGAATGAGGTACGCAGACAAGTAGAGGGTTAGCAGGACAAAGAGGAGCTTTATTAAGCAATAGAACAGCTCAGAGAGCCGCAGTGGGCCACTCCTCTCCATAGCCAGGTTGCCTCAACACTTGTTCAGCTATCAACAGAGAGGGTAGCTCTTCTCTGCATCTGATTGTCCTGTCCTCTCCTCAGTTCTCAGCAGAGAGGAGACCCTGGTGAGGGCAGCTTCACTCTGCAGCTGAGAGGAGACCCTGGGGATGTTAAATCCTCTCCTCAGCAACTCATCCCTCATGTCCCTGTCCTGTCTCTATGCTCTCTCCATCCTCTTCTCAAGTCCACCTGAGCCCAGGGCTTTTACGGGCCTCAGAGGGGAAGAATGGATGGCCATGGGGCAGGCCCAGAAAAGGCACAAGTTCCCACTCCTGTCTGCAGGACTGGCAGCCCAACCCATAGCCTTCAATCCCTCCCTGGCCTGAAGGAGGGGCTTCATCAGGGACCTGCCCCCTTCTGCCCAGGAGACTGTCTGCCTCCCAACCCCGTCCATGGCACCTAGGCTGCTCATGGCAAAGGGCCTATAGGCCAGCACCAGTTGCCCTCAGCCCATTTTCCCTCAGCTTCCCCATGGCTGAGGTGGCAGGAGGCTGGTGTATCAACGTTGTCCTGAACATGCACACACCCGGCTAGGCTGTAACAGCACTGGGGCTTGGCCCCAAACTCCACTCTGAGATCAGAGTGGGCGCCCGGGGGCCTGGAGAGGCCAGGTGAGAAGCCAGGCAGTGGGAGCAGACACCTGCAAGCCTGCAGGGGCAGGGGGTGCTTCACGTCCTTGAGAGCATGGAGTGCAGAGAGGCCGGTATCCTGCTGCGTGGAGGGCAGGACTCCCACTCAATCCCTGGAGTCTGCAGGTAGCCCCTGTCACACCTTCACACAGCCTGGGGTGGACAGCTCCCCTCATCTGTGCCCATGCCAGCATCTGGGGCAAGGATGATGTGTCTGCAAGTTCTTCACCTACCACTCAGGGGTGCCTGGGGCTCCCCCTTGCCTGGATGGGGTGAGGGAGGCACCGTGGGGAGCAGATCAGGCCCAAGCCTGGCCGTCGGGAAAATCAGGCTTCGTGGCCACCCTGGGGGCACAACCCTGGGCTGCCTCAGGCAGAACCTCTTCCTGAGGTGCAGGAACTGGGCTTCGTCAGCATGGTGGGACAGTGACCATGCCACTGGCTGGGTCCCCAGAGCAGGGCTACTCCCACTTCCAAACCGGGCCCAACAAGCCTGGCCCTAGCTCCATGCCCTCCCCACAGCTGCAGGATGAGAGCAGCAAAGCAGGAGTCGTGGAGGCTCCTGGCCTGGGGGCAGTCCCTCCGGCTGCTCAAGGGTTGGGGCAGCGCAGTTGGCTGCCTCAGGGGCGCAAGGCACAGGGGACATGGGGCACAGGGGTCCCACCATGGCCACGGATCCCTCAGTCGTTCCTGCCACCACCGCTTGCAACTTCCCACTGCAGCCAGCCATTCTGGACAGCTCGCCACTGCCAGCATCACCACCCTTTTAACCTCAAATACTAAGCTGAACCTTAGCTGGATTTCCTAGATTACCAACATCTCAATTAGTTTCTTTTTTACACAGTTTGTTCCTTCTTTTCTTTTTTGTTTTTTTTTTTCCTTTTTATTTTTATTTTTTCAGGGTCTCCCTCTGTCACCCAGGCTGGAATGCAGTGACATGATCTTGGGTCACTGCAGCATGGACCTTCCAGGTTCTAGCAATCTACCCACCTCCTGAGTAGCTGGGACTAAATTAGTTTCTAAGTAAATTATTATTTTCTGTTGACCAAATTAAATGTGATATTCTGGTTGCAATTTCACAACTTCCAATAGTATTGAATTATTATTGGGGTATAGAGACATAGTTTATTCTCAAATCCAGGGACAATAGTGACTTTCACCCGTGAAATTTTGAACTTTCTATATTAATAGAAGTATGTTTTTCCAAAGTAAGTGAGGCACTTTTTTCTTCTATTTTGAGATGATCAAATTTACTACTTTATCATGAGAAATCTGAAATAATAATTCTGAGCAATAGTTTTTATTTAAGAATTTTGAGGTCACTATTACCTTTAATAAGAAGGAGACTTCTCAGGAGCTATGGGTGTCATCACATAAGACAAATGCAAATGTTGTCATTTCCAGGGGAGGGTAAGGATGATAATGAGGGGGTTCTTTTGAAGGAACTAGAATTGCTACACAGTATCTTCCTCAAATTGTATACTGCTGCCATTCATTAACATGAGTAGCCATATTGCTATGTGCATCCATAAATTATAGGAATATAAATAATTTTAATACATAGGACATTATTCTCAGAAATAGAATGTGAAGGATTATGATATAGTGGCTGAGCCTGAGGGGTATGTAATTTGGTTCAATCTATAGTGTACCATTTACTAGCTGTGTATCTTTGCAAAAGTTGTTTCATCTCCATTGTTTTATTCTCTCTACCTGTAAGCATGAAAAGGGTGTTTATTTTACTGAGCTGATGTGAGAATGGAATAAAAACATGAAGTATAAAAAGCGCTTAGTACAATTCTGAGTATAAAGTAAAATGCTCATTTTTATGGCAGCATGGTGAGAATCCTGCCCCTGGAAACACTAAGGCCCATAAGGAATGAGTGCCTATGTGGTAGCGTGTGAATTAATGCAGAACGCTATAAGTATAGTTGTACTTTGAAGTCCATTCTGAACCTTAGATGTTACATTTATATTAATAAAAAGCATAATAATTATCTAAATGTATATGTTTAATATTATATGGTTACATCAACTGATGTAATTCATAGTTTTCCCTAGTGTTCTCTTTCCTGAACATTCTAAAATGTATTAGTTAGCAAAGTCATCTTCTATCTTCCCTTATGATAAAACAAGAGAAACATAATAGTAAAGTGCTATAGCCTCAATCAAATGAGGAAATCATAACGGAACCAGGAATGAGGGATTGAACACTCTTCACATAAAATATTAATTATTTTAAAACAGAATTGTGGCCAGGCACGATGGCTCATGCCTGTAACCCCAGCAGTTTGGGAGGCCAAGGCAGGCAGAACATGAGGTCAGGAGATCGAGACCATCCTGGCTAACACAGTGAAACCCCATCTCCACTAAAAATACAAAAAATCAACCAAGCGTGGTGGCACGTGCCTGTAGTCAGAGTTACTCAGGAGGCTGAGGCAGGAGAATCATTTGAACTGAGGGGGCAGAGGTTGCAGTGAGCCAAGATCACACCACTGCACTCCAGCCTGGGTAACAGAGCGAGACTCCGTCTCAAAAAAAAAAGAAAAAATAGTTGTTCTGTGAACAGCTGACTTTGAGAGTCTTCGATTGATCTCTCAAACCCATGAATACTTGGATTGCAAAGTTGACCTTATCATATTTTTAGGGTAAGTGCTGTACAAAGGCACGTTCAGACCCTCCATTGCACACATGTGGCCCCTGTTAGCCCCTTGCCTGTGTGTGTTCTGGAGGTGCCACTAAACTTGGGGGCAGCATCAGGAGACATACTTGAAAAAGATATTTTTACTCAGATTAAATTATTAACAAACTGTCAATTTCCTTTAACTTATTAAAGACATCCCTACCTGTAAATAGGTACGGATTAAGCTCTCTAGTCAATAGCTGTCATCCTGTCATATTATCAGATACCCGGGGCTGCTGCTCCTTGAGGTGTCCGCAGAATCACAGCATTTTCCAGTATTGAAAGACCTGAAAGATCACAGTGTCTTCATTTCAACTGTGAGACATGAAATAATTTTCCCAAATCTACAACATTAAGATACAGTGCAATAAGGACCAGATTAAAGGTCTCCGATTTACAACCATGTTCCCTCCATCTCCTTTACTCCTAAACACACTCACACACTCACTTCTGCAAACAGTTGTCTTGTCAGGTGGGAAATGAATGCTCTTACAAGGCTCAAACTTGTGAACACATCACTGACCAGCACAGAGCTGGCTAACAATAGGGACCCAGTTAGTGTTTTACATGCAACTGGATCAAATCTTTCAAGTACTAATTTAAAACAATCCTTTAAAGAAGGAAATTCTGTTTCAGAAGAGGACCTTCATACAGCATCTCTGACCAGCAACTGATGATACTATTGAACTCAGATGCTGATTGGTTCTCCAACACGAGATTACCCAACCCAGGAGGAAGGAAATCAGTAACTTCCTCCCTATAATTTGGAATGTGGGTGGAGGGGGGTCATAGTTCTCCCTGAGTGAGACTTGCCTGCTCTTCTGGCCCCTGGTCCTGTCCTGTTCTCCAGCATGGTGTGTCTGAAGCTCCCTGGAGGTTCCTACATGGCAGCGCTGACAGTGACACTGACGGTGCTGAGCTCCCCACTGGCTTTGGCTAGGGACACCTGACATAAGTGCACATTGTGGGTGCTGAGCTACTATGGGGTGGGGAAAATAGGGAGTTGTGTTAACATTGTGCCCAGGCCAGGTGCCTTAAAAAATTGTGACATTTTCTTCAGAGATTGCCCATCTTTATCATGGGATCCCAAATTATTTCCTCCACAAAAGGATCTTGACTACTTGCCCTCTCCATGAGACTGTGTAAGGGGCCTCCATACAGGTCATTTCTTCTCAAATCTTCACCAATGAAACCTTTGCATCACATGTCCTCAGGGTCCTCAGAGGATTTAGAAATAAGGATGCTAAAATAAATTCCCCATACAGCACTTCCCTTTATTATGTTGACCTATGTTAGACAAAAGGAGTTTTTTTCTGAAAATTTTCTGGGAGTCAAGGGAATTCAAAGGGTCTCTCCTAGACAATCCTGTGTTATGCCCTTGACAGAACCTGTGATATTGTCCCCTCTTCCTCATATGTGAGAATGGACCCAGTGGCCTCCCCATTACCTCCTTTCTTTTCTTTCTGAACTCCAATGTTTACCCTGTAATGTATGCAAGGTCTCTGACAGAAGTTATGCTTAGTGCTCTTTCTTCCTTATGGGGAAAAATCCTTGGAGCTGAAGCTGAGATCTTTAGTACTTGGAGTCACCCTACAGTTAAAGAGCATCTATGAGGTATTCTTTGCTGCCTAAAGGACTTAAGAACAAAGCTAGAGGCATCACGTTACCTGACTTCAAACTATACTACAAGGCTATAGTAACAAAAACAGCATGGTGCTGGTACCAAAACAGATATATAAACCAATGGGACAGAACAGAGGCCTCAGAAATAATGCCACGCATCTACATCTAAAAACATCTGATCTTTGACAAACCTGACAAAAACAAGCAAGAGAAAAGAATTCCCTATTTAATAAATGATGTTGGGAAAACTGGCTAGTCATATGCAGAAAGCTGAAACTGGATCCCTTTCTTACACCTCATACAAAAATTAACTCAAGATAGATTAAAGACTTAAATGTAAGACCTAAAACCAGAAAAACCTTAGAAGAAAACCTAGGCAATATCATTCAGGACATAGGCATGGGCAAAGTCTTCATGTATAAAACACCAAAACAAAAAAAAAATGGCAAGAAAAGCCAAAATAGACAAATGTGATCTGATTTAACTAAAGAGCTTCTGAATAACAAAAGAAAGTATCATCAGAGTGAACAGGCAACCTACAGAATGGGAGAAAAATTTTGCAATATATCCATTTGACAGATGGCTAATATCCAGAATCTACAAATAAACAAATTTACAAGAAAAAAACAACCCCGGCCAGGCGCAGTGGCTCACGCCTGTAATCCCAGCACTTTGGGAGGCTGAGGCGGGTGGATCACGAGGTCAGGAGGTCGAGACTATCCTGACTAACACAGTGAAACCCCGTCTCTACTAAAAATACAAAAAAATTAGCCGGGCATGGTGGTGGGCACCTGCAGTCCCAGCTACTCAGGAGGCTGAGACAGGAGAATGGCATGAACCCGGGAGGCAGAGTTTGCAGTGAGCCAAGATCACACCACTGCACTCCAGCCTGGGTGACAGAGTGAGACTCTGTCTCAAAAAAAAGGAAAAGAAAAAAAAAACCCATCAAAAAGTGGGTGAATGATATGAACAGACACTTCTCAAAAGAAGACATTTATGCAGCCAACAAACATATGAAAAAAAGCTCATCATCACTGGTCATTAGAGAAAAGCAAACCAAAACCACAATGAGATACCATCTCATACCAGTTAGAATGGTGATCATTAAAAAGTTGGGAAACAACAGATGCTGGAGAGGATGTGGAGAAATAGGAAAGTTTTTACACTGTTGGTGGGAATGTAAATTAGTTCAACCATTGTGGAAGACAGTGTGGCAATTCCTCACGGATCTAGAGCTAGAAATACCATTTGACCCAGTGGTCCCATTATTGGGTATATACCCAAAGGATTATAAATCATTCTACTATAAATATACATGCACACATATGTTTATTGCAGCACTATTCTCAACAGCAAAGGCTTGGAACCAACCCAAATGCCCACCAATATTAGACTGGATAAAGAAAATGTGGCACATATATACTACGCAGCATAAAAAAGGATGAGTTCATGTCCTTTTTAGGGACATGGATGAAGCTGGAAACCATCATTCTGAGCAAACTAACACAAGGACAGAAAACCACACACTGCATGTTCTCACTCATAACTGGGAGTTGAACAATGAGAACACATGGACACAGGGAGGGGAACACCACACACTGGGGCTTGTCAGTGGGTGGGGGGCTAGGGGAGGGATAGCATTAGTAGAAATACCTAATGTAAATTATGGGGTGATGGGTTCAGCAAACCACCATGGAACATGTATACCTATGTAACAAACCTGCACGTTCTGCACATGAAGCCCAGGACTTAAGGTATAATAATAGCAAAAAAAAAAAAAACAAGAAAGTGGAAAAAAATCATCTGGTCCATTTGGCTCCAAGAACAAAAAAGGAAAAGAAAAGAAGAAGGGAAGATTATTTCCCAATAGAATAATGGTTTTTGTGTATATGTCATAAGTATGTGAGGTAATGCATATGTTTAATAGCTTGATTTAAACTTTCCACACTATAGGGATATATCAAAACTTTGGCTCTACAACATAAATACACTATAAATTTTTTACTTGTCGGTTAAAAAAGTAAACCTAACATTTACAAAGGCAATGCATAAAAACTGAGAAGAGACTGTAACAACTGAAAGAAACTTGGCCAACATGAGATTTTTTTTTTTTTTTTTTTTGAGATGGAGTCTTGCTCTGTCGCCCGGGCTGGAGTGCAGTGGCGCGATCTTGGCTCACTGCAAGCTGTACCTCTTGGGTTCACACCATTCTCCTGCCTCAGCCTCCCGAGTAGCTGGGACTGCAGGCGCCCACCACCATGCCCAGCTAATTTTTTTGTATTTTTGGTAAAGACGGGGTTTCACCGTGTTAGCCAGGATGGTCTCGATCTCCTGACCTCATGATCCACCCGCCTCGGCCTCCCAAAGTGCTGAGATTACAGGCATGAGCCACTGCATCTGGCCCAGAACTCTTTCTTAATCCCATCTACAATATTGTGTATCTATTACTGTAAATTAGTATATGGTTTTTCATTCCAGAGACTTCAGTAATATAGTATTACCAAAGGACTTGTACAGATTTCAGAGAAAGACAAATTTAGAAGATGGAGGGTTCTCCATTGTGTTCTGAGAGTCAGTATCAAATATGTCAAAACTAAAAAGTACATAATCAATGCAGAAGTCTATTTCAAAGTAATAATCATTTGAGCATAATTTCTCTACTGTCAGAGACAACTTATTTTCAAATTCAATATTTATTTATGCATATTTTATTATTAGTTATATGTTACTTGTACATACACATCAGTACAAGTACTTATAAATCCTATAAGAACATAAATCCTATAGGAAGATATTAAGCTAATAATTATGTCTGTTCTGTTTGATCCCAGAGTTGCAACAAATAGGCCTTGTTCCCTAAGTTGAGGAGATGATTTGTCTTATTTTATATGAGACTTGTGGTGTGGAACTAAAATGTGTGGGATGAATATTTGAATGAAGATGCTTCTGTTGTGAACAGCAGGAAATCCCATCTAGTGGGCTTTATTTTTCTTTAACCCATGATCTCACATAGGCAATAGATACAAGGGTGGGCGTCTCCAGGGTTGCTCAACTCAGCAAGCCAGTGGCATCAACAGCGATCCTGGAACTTCATAACTCATCTCTCTATCATACACAGCATGTCAGCTTTCCTGCAATGGTCGGAGGATCCCTGCAGCCGCTTTAGGTTTCTTATTCTTTCACAAAACTACCAAAGAAAGGAAAAAGATACTACTTTTTCCTGTGTGCCTTTATAAGGAGCAACTACACCGTTTCCAGAGTATTCACAGTACCGACTTTCTCATTGGAATGACCGTGGGATCACACGGGCTCAGACAAGCCAGGATTCAACCCTTGTAGAGTGGGCCTGATGCACATGGGGAGAAAAGGAGCAAAATCATATATTTTTAAAAATAAAGAAATGGTGGATGGAGTAGGAGAGGTTGATTTCAGGGTAGGGAAATGATAGATTGTGGTACTCTTAGGTTGCTAGAATTTGCAGTTAAATTCCACATGAAGGCCTAGAGATTCCTGATAGGCATCCTCCATTCAGCGTTTCAGGTCTTTTTTAATACACATGTATCGAGCATTAAATGTCTGCCATTAACTCAATTAGAATAAAACAAAAAAGCAGGAAAAAGGATTGATTTTAGAACTCAATTAAGTATGCTGACATGTTGTTTTAACGGGGGAATTTTTGAAAAAGGTAGAATAAGGAATGACTAGCTCTATAAGGTGCTAAAACATACTATACATTTATTTTAAAAAACACATTTGTTGGCCTGGCGCAGTGGCTCATGCCTGTAATCCCAGCACTTTGGGAGGCCGAGGCGGGCAGATCACGAGACCATCCTGGCTAACACGGTGAAACCACGTCTGTACTAAAAATAAAAAAAAATTAGCCGGGCATCGTGGCGGGCACCTGTAGTCCCAGCTACTCCAGAGGCTGAGGTGGGAGAATGGCGTGAACCTGGGAGGTGGAGCTTGCAGTGAGCCGAGATCTCACCACTGCACACCAGCCTGGGCGACAGAGCGAGACTCCATCTCAAAAACAAAAAAAATATATTTGTTACTGATTCTTTATTTTTTGTTAAATATGCTAGTAAAACAGAGTCTAGAATTAGAACCAGAAGGAGTTGAGATTTAGTTTCAGTTTGTGGTAAGTTGTATTCCAAAGTCATTTCTTTCACCAAATGGATCCTGGATGAATAAAAATTGAAACATCAAGAGAAAATATAAAATTAACAAGACAGATGTTATTTCTAATACTATCATCATCATTATAATTATGTTTGATGACAAACAGACTTTCTAAGCCCTTATGTGTTGCTGGTGGGAGTGTATGATTTTACAAATACCTGGAAATTTGGCAATTTCTTTAAAAGTTTAACATATGTTTGCCATATGACCCAGCAATTTCACTCCTTGGAATCTACCTAAGAGACATAAAAACGTATGTCCTCACGAAGTTACACATTCAAGTGTTCAGAACAGCGTTAGCCATAGTAGGTCTAAACTGAAAACAATCCAAATATCCTTCAACTAGTAAATGGATAAACAAAATGGATAAACTACATTCATGCAAGGCAATATCATTCAACAGTAAAAGGGAACAAAACGAGACTCATCTGGCAGGGGAGATACCATAAACATGAGGGTAATTTTCCCAAGGCAAGTTTCAACCCTTGCACTCCAGGTGATGAGAGATTGCTTAACGGGTACAATGCATGTGATTTAGGTGATGGATACTGTGGAACACTGACTTCACATACTATGCAATCTATGCATGTAATAAAACTACACTTGGACTTTATAAATTTACACAAATAAAAAAGAGAAAATAAAAAGAAAAGGGACAAAATGAAGATACATACTACAAAACTGATGAACTTAAATAATGTTAACTAAGTGAAGGAAACTGGACACAAAAGGTTACATAATGTATCATTTCATTTACTTGAAATATGTAAAAGAGGTAAATTGATTGACGCAAAAAGCAGATCACTGGGTGCCTATGGCTTGGGGTATCGGTGGGAATTAACTATAAATAGAGAAATTTTGGACATAACAGAAATGTTTAAAAAAAGCTGGATTGTTGTGATAATTGCACAAATCTATTTACTTACTAAAATCATTAAATTTTACATATAGAATGAATGAATCTCATAGCATGTAAATTAAGCCTTAGGAATCCTGTTAAAATAATTCTTTTTTAAAAAATAAGACTTTGCAAGCAAGACAAAATCCAGAAGACACAAATGAAAAAATATTTGAAGAAAATTACTGACTTCTTTGCATGAAGAAAATAACAAAATTAAAAGAAGTATATGAAGCTCAGGAAAAATTTTGATCACATAAGGCAGAAAATGGGCTTTCTTATGAAAAATTGTCAACTAATCAATAAATTAATTAATGGAAATGCCACGGAAAATTGGGCAAAGGATATAGATTGACTATAGAATCTCTTCTATAGTCAATATTGGAATCTCTTCCAATAGTCAATAAATATTTGCTCAAACTCACCAACGAATGGAAAAATCCAAATTCAAATAGCAATTTCTCCCCCTGAAAACTGGAAAATACAACAGTTTGTTTTAAAATCAAGGATTTAGAAGATTCTATGGGAATAGATTCTCCTATATTATTAGGATTGTGGGTGGATGGCAGTGTACTATTAAAACTCAAAATGCAATTGTTACGTGCTTGATGAAAACAACAAAAATCCCATTCTAAACATCTGTCTTAAGGAAACAATCCTACATGAGCCCAAAGAAATATAAAATTGGTCGTTTTGAGCCATGGTTTGCAATAACAAAAACATTGCCAAATTCTAAAAGAAAAACTGATTAATTTGTCTTGATTATAAAACTTTTGCACATCATAAAAACTATGCAGCATGTGAAGTGACAGCACACTGCAGGATGACATTTGGTGCTGTGTGTGGCACTGTTAGCATATATAGGTGTAACCCTGTGAGTAGTTGGGATAATACAGTATTACCACTCTAGGTTTTTACAGTCTCGGTACATTTTTCCTTGTACCTCCATGATGACATATAAAAAATGTAACAGGAGAGAAAAGAAACATTCTCAATATTTAGAAGAAAGGTAAATTGTGGGCCCGGCGCAGTGGCTCACGCCTGTAATCCCAGCACTTTGGGAGGCCGAGGCAGGTGGATCACGAGGTCAGGAGATCGAGACCACGGTGAAACCCCGTCTCCACTAAAAATACAAAAGTTAGCCGGGCGCGGTGGCGGGCGCCCGTAGTCCCAGGTACTCGGGAGGCGGAGGCAGGAGAATGGCGTGAATCCGGGAAGCAGAGCTTGCAGTGAGCGAGATCGCGCCACTGCATTCCAGCCTGGGCAACAGACGGAGACTCCGTCTCAAAAAAAAAAAAGAAGGGTAAATTGTGGTATAGACATAGAAAGGAATAATATACAGGGCTTTAAGTAAATTATGTAGGACTATCAACATGAATTGGAAAAAAATCATAAAACATAATGCCAATTAGGAGGTAGAAAATTACAAGAATTGTCACTGTTACTACAAGAACAAAAAAAAATAGACTAGACTAAATGGATAAACTGCAAAATAATCTTATTTTTAAAATTTTAATGAACCATAGATCAAAAAGTATAAAAATTCCAAATTCCGGAGATGAACAAACTCCACTTAGGTGAGCCAAGGACAAATGTCCACTCTTATTCTTTGGTCCTTCTATGGAATCTTTACATGGGGGGAAGATTGAGCCTGGCTGAGAAAGGGAGATAGCGACTGAGGACAAAGCAGCTGAGTTGTAAATAGCCCTGTGAGCTGGTGTGCTGCATTACAATCTATAGAGGCCCCCTGAATAATATATATCTACTTTACCCTGCCAGCTGAGTCTCCTTCCAGAACTTTTTCTGACTTCATGCTGGTGGTGTGGGAACTAGGGAGGACGATAGAAGACAACACACATCTCTAGCTTCGTGCAAACAAAGATCACGAAGGAAATCAAGATAGGAACAATGCTTTCAACCATCTTGACTTAGCTGGCATTTATAATTGACATATATACTGACATCTGAGAACTACAGAATGTTTATTTATTTACATTGCACAAAGATTATCCATGAAATAGAACAAATACTATGACTATAAAAGTAGTCTCAATTACTTTCACAAGAATAAAATCATACAGAGTATATTATCTGAACAGTCTTGTCAAATTACAAATAAATAAGATGAAGAACATTGCCCAAATTTTTGGAAGTAAAATAATACGTTTCTAAATAATCTATGGTTTGTCAAATAAAATCAGAAGGAAAATTAGAAGATAATTTTAAATAAAATAATACTAAAATGAATATTTAAAATTTTTGTTATGCAACCAAGGCAGTCCTTAGAAAAAAATATTGTTTAAAATTCTTGTATTATAAAAGGATACAACGTTGGAGGTTACATTTCAACATGAGATTTGGATAGGACAAACATCCAAACTGTATCAATAACATAATTGGTTTAATGTATAGTGACTTTGTATCCAGCAATCTTATTTATATTTATTTATTAAATCTGTGAGTTTGTCTATTATTTTTATTTTCTAAGTACCCGATTAGGTCAACAGTAAATAATGACAATTTTACCTGGATGCAATTATTATCTCTTTCATATATTTTTCTTGCCATTTTCATTGTCTGACTCCTCTACTATTCCAGATATGAAAGAGAGAGTTTTGCATATATTTCACTGCTAAGACTAATGTGTGCAATAGGTTAGCAATCATTTCTCAGATTGAAGAAATACCTTTTAAATACAAGTTTGCAAGCAGGTTTTTGTTTTTATTTTTATTTTTGTTTTTGAGACGGAGCTTTGCTCTTGTTGCCCAGGCTGGAGTGCAGTGGCATGATCTCAGCTCACTGCAACCTCTGCCTCCCAGGTTCAAGCGATTCTCTTGTCTCAGCCTCCTGAGTACCTGGGACTACAGGCACTCGCCACCACGCCCGGCTAATTTTGTATATTTACTAGAGACAGGGTTTCTCCTTTTGGTCAGGCTGGTCTTGAACTCCCGACCTGAGGTGATCCACCCAACTCAGCTGCCCAAAGTGCTGGGATTACAGGCATGAGCCACAGCGCCCGGCCAGATTTTTAAAAAATTAAGGCCAAGCGCTGAATTCTGTCAAATCATATTTCATGACTCTGCAGGTGGTTGCATGTGTATTCTCCTTCCTTCAGTTAATGTAGTGAATCACACTAATTGAGTCTCAAATGCTCAAACAACCTTGCATTTCTGGAATAAATTCCACTTGGTCATGATTTGGTAGCTATCTTTTGTATCACTGAATTCAGGTGGCTAATATTTTCTTAAGAACTTGGCTCATAAGAGTTATTGGTCCACAAATTCCTATTTGTTGTAGAGTTCTTTTCAGGTCTTGAAGTAAAGTTTACACAGATCTCATTAAATGTAACTGCAAGTATTTTTCCTTTTTTCAAATATGTTTGAAGTTTGTGTAAAGTTAGTGTTGTTTGTTCCTTAAATAGTTTAAAATAGTTACTGAAACTGGATGAGCCTGCGGTTTTGTCTTGGGAAAACTTTATGGAATGGGCTTACTTTCTCTATAAGATGTGGAACTCTTCATATTTTATGTTATTTGTCAGCTTCAGTACATTGTACATTTTGAGTAATTTATTCATTACATGCAAATTTATTTTGCAAAGTTATTCATATTATTATTATTTCATGCTGATAAATCTCTAGGACTATAACAAAAGATATGAAATTTGTGTCATTGGAGTCTTAGAGGGAGATGACAAATGGGTGATGCCCAAAGAATATTTGAAGGAAGACTATTTTCCAAATTTGGACAAAGACTTAAATGTAAAAATTCAAGAATCTGTGCAAACCCAAACGAAGATAAATCCAAAGAAATTTAGATAAAAAAACCTTTTTTTTTTTTTTTTTTTTTTTTTGAGACGGAGTCTCGCTCTGTCGCCCAGGCTGGAGTGCAGTGCTGCGATCTCAGCTCTGCCTCCTGGGCTCATGCCATTCTCCTGCCTCAGCCTCCCCCAAAAAAACTCTTGAAAGCAACAAGAGAGAAATGACCTAAATAAATCAAATAACAGCAGATTGCTCATTAGAAATCATGCAGACCAGTCAGAAGTGGCACAAGTTATTTTAATGGCTGAAAGTAATGTTAACCTAGAATGTATAACCAGAAAAATATTATTATAAAATGAAGGTTCTATCATGGCATTCTTTGTTTTTGTTTTTTTTTTTGTTTATAGATGGACTCTTGCTCTTTCATCCAGGCTTGAGGGCAGTGGCACGACCACAGCTCAGTGCAGCCTCTGCCTCCCAGGCTCATGTGATCCTCACACCTCAGCCTCCTGAGTAGCTTGGATTACAGACACGCGCCACCACGCCTGGCTAATTTTTGTATTTTTGGCCAAGACAGGGTTTGCTCATGTAGCCCAGGCTGGTCTGGAACTCTTGAGCTCACGGGATCCACCTGCATTGGCCTCTCAAAGTGCTGGGATTACAGGCATGAGCCACCACGCCAAACCATGACATTCTTAGAGGAAGGAAAATCAAGAGAATTTGATGCTAGCAGACTTATCCTAAAACAAGAGCTAAAGGAAATGCACTGGAATAGAAATGATAATGGAAGAAATCCTGGACGATCAGGAAAAAAATAAACAATAGAATGATTGAAAATATGGGTTGAGACAACAGACTTTTCCTCAGTTTTGTAAATTAATTTGATGGTTGAGGCAAAAATCACAACATTGTCAGATGTGGTTTTTGATGCAAGTATAGAAAATAAAAAATGTGTATTATAAATGCAGGAATGGAAAGGGATACAAAGGAAGTAAAGTTTCTACACTTTAGTCAAATTGACAAAATGTCAGCACCAGTAGACTATGATAAGTTATGTTAATAGATAAATCACAAAAACTATATAATGAGATATGCCAAAAAAGATTGATTACAAAATGGAATTCTAAAAATTGCTTAAGGAACACATCAAAAAACAGGAAAAGCAAACAGAGAAGCTAAAACCAAAGGAAACAAAAAAGAATACAAAAAGCAGATGGCAGTCATAAGAACTCACATATTAATAATTGCATTACATGTAAATTGTCTGAAAAGACAAACGTCAGAGTGAAAAATAATGAACCACAGATATACTACCTACTGTGTCCAGAGTTTGTTCCTTCCAGTGGGTTCGTGGTCTCACTGACTTCAACAATGGGGTTTGTGGTCTCACTGACTTCAAGAATGAAGTCGCGGACCTTCATAGTGAGCGTTATAGCTCTTAAAGTTGGCACAGACCCAAAGAGTGAGCAGCAGCAAGATTTACTGTGAAGAGCAAAAGAACAAAGCTTCCACAGTGCAGGAAGGGACCGGAGCAGCTTTCTGCTGCTGGCTAGGGTGGCCAGCTTGTATTCCCTTACTTGCCCCCACCCATGTCCTGCCGATTGGTCCATTTTACAGAGTACTGACTGGTCCATTTTACAGAGTGCTGACTGGTCCATTTTACAGAGTGCTGATTGGTCCATTTTATAAACTTCTAGCAAGCCACAGAGCACTGATTGGTGTGTTTTTACAGAGCACTGATTGGTGCATTTTACAAACCTCTAGCTAGCCACAGAAAAGTTCTTCAAGTCCCCACCCAACCCAGAAGTCCAACTGGCTTCACTTCTCACTACTAGAAACTTACTGCAAATATTACAAGAGTGGAAGGTTGAAATAGAAGAACGGAAAAAAATAAACCATACATTTGTCAAAGAAAGCAGAAATGGCTATAATATCAGATAACATAAAATACACAGAGCAATGAATATTCTAAGAGATAAACAGAAACACTAAAGATAAAAACGTTAATTCAGAACGAAGACATAGCAACTCGAAATGTGTATGCATCAGAAAACTGAGTTACAAATAAGTAGAGCAAAAATGGTCAGAACTGGAAGGAGAAATAGACAAATACACAATTAAACTTTGAGACTTCACAAACCATCTCTGAAATATTAATAAAACAACTGTACAAAAACTCAGCCAGATAATGAAACCCAACAAAACTATCCACCAATAAGATCTAATAGACATTTACAGACCACCACACCAAACAGAAGAATACACATTTTTAACTGTCCATGGAATATTTACCAATGTAGATCAAACCCTGGACCATAATAAAAACCTCAACAAATGTGAAAGAATTGAAATCATACAGACTGTGTTCTCTGGAAGCAATGGAGTTGAACCAGAAATCAATAACGTGAAGAAAATCGGTACAACTCCAAACACATGGAAACTAAATAACATACTTTTAAATTACCTGTGGATCAAAAAAGATGTCTTAAGGAAAATAAAAAATGTATTCAACTAAGTGAAAATGAAAATATAACATATCAAAATCTTTGGTCATTAGCTAAAGCAGTGCTTTGAAAAACTATTTATAGTACAAAATGTACACACTGAAAAAGAGAAAAGGTCAGAAACCAATAATCTCAGTTCCCACCTCAAGAATCTAAAAAAGCAGTCCAAAATAACCTAAAACAAGAAGGGAAAAAAAGAATATGAGGGTAGAACTCTGGGGCTCACACTTGTAATCCCAGCATTTTGAGAGGCCAAGGCAGGTGGATCACTTGAGATCGGGATTTCCAGACCAACCTGACCAACATAGGGAAACGCCTATGCCAATTCATTTTGACAAAGAATCATAATAATTCAATGGAGGTAATATAGTCTATAGTCTTTTCAAAATACGGTCCAGGAGAAAGTGGAAATCCATAGACAAAAACAAAACCAAACAAAATAAAAAAGGAAGCAGAGGAAAAAGATGCAAGAAAGAAACGTAACAAATTCTCACATCTCATGAAAACATTTACCCCCAATTAAATCATGTCTACACGTTAAAGGTTTCGAAAAACATATGAGAAAATCGTCAGGAGCTAGGGCCTGGTGTCTGAGTTCTGAGTTTGTAGACATGACACCAAAACTCTGTGTGTAAAAAACAAAAACGCAGGCCGGGCAAAAAATTAGCCGGGCATAGTAGCGGACACCTGTAGTCCCATCTACATGGGAGGCTGAGGCAGGAGAATGGCATGAACCCGGGAGGTGGAGCTTGCAGTGAGCCAAGATTGTGCCACTGCATTCCAGCCTGGGCTACAGAGCAAGACTGTCTTGGAAAAAAACAAAAACAAAAACAAAAAAACACACAAATACAAAAAACAAACAAAATCAATAGATGGGGCTTTATCAAAATTTAAAACTGTTTTTCTGTAAGGTATCCTGCTAAGAAATGAAAAGTAAGCTAAAGACATGGAGAAAATATTTAAAACCACATATATTACCAAAAATACATTATCTAGAATATATAATCAACTATAAACGCTTTACTATAAAATCTATAGAGTGCAGACTATGAAATTTAATTACAAAATGGGCAAAAGATATGAAGACACATTTTATCACAGAAGATATGTGTATATGGCAAATAAGCACAATGAATGACATGCAAATCACTAGCCATCAGGGAAATGCAAATTAAGAACTTGATGTAATAGCACTACACACCTCTTTTTTTTTTTTTTTTTTTTTTTTTTTTTTTTTTTTTTTTAAGACAGAGTCTCCCTCTGTCGCCCAGGCTGGAGTGCAGTAGCGTGATCTCGGCCCACTGCAAGCTCCGCCTCCTGGGTTCATGCCATTCTCCTGCCTCAGCCTCAGGAATAGCTCAGACTACAGGTGCCCGTCACCACGCCCAGCTAATTTTTTGTATTGTTAATAGAGACGGGGTTTCACCATGTTAGCCAGGATGGTCTCCATCTCCTGACCTCATGATCCGCTTGCCTTGGCCTCCCAAAGTGCTGGGATTAAGGCGTGAGCCACCGCCCCTGGCCCCCCACACCTCTTAATACAGCTAAATTTTTTTAAAAAACAATGGTAAATGCTAGTGAGAATGCAGAAAAACTGGATTTCACGCACATTGATAGTGAGAATGTAAAATGGCACAGTCTTTCTAGAAAATAGTTTGGCAGTGTCTTGAAGAACTAGACATATATTTGCCATATGAGCCAAGAATTACATTCTGGGACATTTATATCAGAGAAATAAAAACACATGTTCACACAAAAATCTTGTGCAAATGTTCACATTCACAACGGCTTTATTTGTAATAGCCCCCAAACTAGAAACAGCCAAAATGTCCCTCAAAAGGCAAATAGTTAAACTTCAGTGGCTCCATCTAATGAAGTATTCCTTAGCAATAAAAAAGAGCAAATTGTTGATACATGCAACAACTTGGATGGATCTCAAGGACATTATGCTGAAGGGAAAATGCCAGTCACAAAAACCACATACTGTGTGATTCTATTTATGTAACATTTTCAAAATGACACTATTCTAGAGATTGGTGGAGAACAGATTAGTGGTTGTCAGTTGTCAGGGTGACAGTGTGTAAGGAGTAGGGCATGACTCTAAAGGGCAGCATGGTGGGAGATCTCTGTGGGATGGAATAGCTCTCCATTGGATTGTGTGGTGGTTACATAAATCTGCAAATATGATAAGACACAGGCATAGAACAATGGACACATATTATACCAAAGTCAGTTTCCTGGTTTTGCTACTGTGCTAGTGTGTCTGGAATTGGTTCCTTCCGGTGGGTTCTTGGTCTCGCTGACTTCAAGAATGAAGCCACAGACCCTTGCAGTGAGTGTTACAGTTCTTAAAGATGGTGTGTCCGGAGTTTGTTCCTTCCCCATGTTCAGATGTGTCCAGAGTTTCTTCCTTCTGGTGGGTTCGTGGTCTCGCCGACTTCAGGAGTGAAGCTGCAGACCTTCGCAGTGAGTGTTACAGCTCTTAAAGGTGGTGTGTCCAGAGCTGTTTGTTCCTCCTGGTGGGTTCATGGTCTCACTGACTTCAAGAATGAAGCCGCAGACTCTTGCGGTGAGTGTTACAGCTCATAAAGGTAGTGCGGACCCAAAGAGTGAGCAGCAGCAAGATTTATTGTGAAGAGCAAAAGAACAAAGCTTCCACAGCATGGAAGGGGACCGGAGTGGGTTGCCGCTGCTGGCTGGGGTGGCCAGTTTTTATTTCCTCATTTGGCCTCACCCACGTCCTGCTGATTGGTCCATTTTACAGAGTGCTGATTGGTCCATTTTTACAGAGTGCTGATTGGTGTGTTTACAAACCTTTAGCTAGACACAGAGCACTGATTGGTGCATTTTTACAGAGTGCTGATTGGTGCATGTACAAACATTTAGCTAGACACAGAGCACTGATTGGTGCATTTTTACAGAGTGCTGATTGGTGAGTCTGGGTGCCTAAAGAAGGGAATAAAAGTTGGCCACCTGAGTCAGCAGTGGCAACCCGCTTGGGTCCCCTTCCATGCTGTGGAAGCTTTGTTCTTTTGCTCTTCACAATAAATCTTGCTGCTGCTCACTCTTTGGGTCCACACTACTTTTATGAGCTGTAAAACTCACCACGAAGGTCTACAGCTTCATTCCTGAAGTCAGTGAGATCACGTACCCACCAGGAGGAACAAACAACTCTGGACGCTCCACCTTCAAGAGCTGTAACACTCACTGCAAAGGTCTGTGGCTTCACTCCTGAAGTCAGCAAGACCACGAACCCACCAGAAGGAAGAAACTCTGGACATATCTGAACAGTGGGAAGGAACAAACTCCGGACACACCGCGAGGGTCCATGGCCTCATTTTTGAAGTCAGCAAGACCAAGAACCCACCAGAAGGAACCAATTCTGGATACATTTTGGCAACCATGAAAGGACACATTTGGTGACCCAGATGGGACCATCGATTATCACCAAGTGGTGAGTACCATCAGACCCCTCTTGCTTGGTTTTCTGTGCTATTTTTCCTTGGAATTCGGGGGCTAAATACCAGGCACCTGTCAGCCAGTTAAAAGCAACGAGTGTGGCTGCTGGACTAAAGACACCGGTGACAGGCTTTCTGGGAAAGGGCTCTGTAACAACCCCCAACTCTTCGGAGTTGGGAGCGTTGGTTTGCCTGGAACCAGCTTCTGCTTTTACTGTACTTCCTGACTGAGCTGAGGGTTGACAGGGAGGAAAGCCATTCAGCTCCGGGGTTCCCGACAAAAAGTTGGTTGACCCTGCGGCCATGAGCGGAGCTCTCAAAGTCATGTCACCCAAGCAAGACTCGCCCATGTATCCTATCTATCCTGACCCTTGTCTCCTGGGTCCTAACGCCTGTCCAACAAACTTCCTCTTGCCTCTCTTCTCCGAGGCTAGTCTTGCTTCTAAAAACCACTCCCTGTCTCTGGTGCTTTTCTAGTTTCTCCTATAGGAATGATTTCTAGTATAAACTCCAGGACTCTATTCCCTTCTTTAGGCACCCGGACTCACCAATCAGAAAGATGTAATTTTTGCCCAAAGCCCCGTCAAGGAGGGGACTCTCTGGAATTTTAGGATCCCTCCTCAGACTAGCAGACCTAACAAAAGCTATTCCTGAAGCTAGGATATGGGGAACTTCAGAAATAGTATCTTTCCTATTCATATAATTGAGGACAAAAGGCATCACTCATCCAACTCTGGAGATCCTTTCCCTCCCTCAGGGTATGGCCCTCCATTTCATTTTTGGGGCATAACATCTTTATAGGACAGTGGTAAGATCCCAATACTAACGGGAGAATGCTTAGGACTCTAGCAGGTTTTCGAGAATGTGTCAGAAAGGGCCACTAAATCCGACCTTCCTCAGTCCTCCTTGTGGTCTAGGAGGAAAACTAGTGTTTCTGCTGCTGCATTGGTGAGCACAACTATTCTGATCAGCAGGGTCCAGGGACAATTTTGGGTTCTTGGGCAAGAGGTGTTTCTGCTGCTGTGTTGGTGAGCACAACTATTCCAATCAGCAAGGTCCAGGGACTGTTGCAGGTTCTTGGGGAGGGGGAGAAACAAACAAACCAAAACCGCGGGTGGTTTTGTCTTTCAGATGGGAAACACTCAGGCATCAACAGGCTCACTCTTGAAATACATCCTAAGCCATTAGACCAATTTGACCTTCAAACCCTGAAAAAGAGGTGGCTCATTTTTTTCTGCACTATGGCTTGGCCCCAATGTTCTCTCTCTGATGGGGAAAAATGGCCACCTGAGGGAAGTATAAATTACAATACTATCCTGCAGCTTGACATTTTCTGTAAGAGGGAAGGTAAATTGAGTGAAATACCTTATGTCCAACCTTTCTTTTCATTGAAGGAAAATACACAACTATGCAAAGATTGCAATTTACATCCCACAGAGGACCTCTCAGCTTACCACCATATCCTAGCCTCCCTATAGCTCACCTTCCTATTAATAAGCTTTTTCCAATCTCCCCCACCCATAAGGAAACAAGCAAATAAATCTCCAAGGGACCACAAAACCTCCCTGACTATCAGTTATGTCCCCTTCAAGCTTTAGGGGGAGGGGAATTTGGCCCAACCCAGGTACATGTTCCCTTCTCCCTCTCTGATTTAAAGCAGATCAAGGCAGACCCAGGGAAGTTTTCAGATGATCCTGATAGGTACATAGATGTCCTACAGGGTCTAGGGCAAACCCTCGATCTCACTTGGAGAAATGTCATGCTATTGTTAGATCAAACCATGGCATTTAATGAAAAGAATGCGGCTTTAGCTGCAGCCCTAGAGTTTGGAGATACCTGGTATCTTAGTCAAGTAAATGACAGAATGACAGCTGAAGAAATGGACAAATTCCCTACTGGTCAGCAAGCCTTCCCCAGTATGGATCCCCACTGGGATCTAGACTCAGATCATGAGGACTGGAATTGTAAACATCCATTGACCTGTGTTCTAGAAGGACTAAGGAGAATTAGGAAAAAGCCCATGAATTATTCAATGATGTCCACCATAACTCAAGGAAAGGAAGAAAATCCTTCTGCCTTCTTCAAATGGCTATGGCAGGCCTTAAGAAAATATACTTTCCTGCCACTCGGCTCACTAGAGGGTCACTTGATCCTAAAAGATAAGTTTATTACCCAATCAGCCACAGATATCAGAAGAAAGCCCCGAAAGCGAGCCCTGGGCCCTGAACAAAATCTGGAGGCATTATTAAACCTGGCAACCTCGGTGTTCTATAATAGGGATCAAGAGGAACAGGCCCAAAAGGAATGGCGAGATCAGAGAAAGGCCTCAGCCTTAGTCATGGCCCTCAGACAAATACACCTTGGTGGTTCAGAAAGGACAGAAAATGGAGCACGCCAGTCACCCAGTAGGGCTTGTTATCAGTGTGGTTTACAAGGACACTTTAAAAAAGATTGTCCAATGAGAAACAAGCTGCCCCCTCACCCATGTCCACTATGCCGAGGCAATCACTGGAAGGCGCACTGCCCCAGAGGACAAAGGTTCTCTGGACCAGAAGCTCCCAACCAGATGATCCAACAACAGGACTGAGGGTGCCCGGGGCAAGCGCCAGCTCATTTCCTCACCCTCACTGAGCCCAGGGTACGTTTAACCATTGAGGGCCAGGAAATTGACTTCCTCCTGGACGCCGGCATGGCTTTCTCAGTGTTAATCTCCGGTCCCGGACAGCTGTCCCCAAGGTCTGTTACCATCCAAAGAATCCCGGGACAGCCTGTAACCAGGTATTTCTCCCACTTCCTCAGCTGTAATTGGGAGACTTTGCTCTTTTCACATGCCTTTCTTGTTATGCCTGAAAGTCCCATACCTTTTTTAGGGAGGGACGTATTAGCCAAAGCTGGAGACATTATCTACATGAATATGGGGAAAAAGTTATCCATTTGTTGTCCCCTGATTGAGGAGGGAATCAACTCTGAAGTCTGGGCATTGGAAGGAACGAACTCAAGCTCCAGCCTTAAGCCTTCCCACAGGAAAAGGCTTCTGAAATCAGACAATGCCTTTCAAACTCTTATACCAACCTCTGGAGTTGGGCAACATGGCTTCTCCCCTTTCTAGGTCCCGTGGCAGCCATCTTGCTATTACTCGCCTTCGGGCCCTGTATTTTTAACCTCCTTGTCAAATTTGTTTCCTCTAGAATCGAGGCCATCAAGCTACAGATGGTCTTACAAATAGAACCCAAAATGAGCTCAACTAACAACTTCTACCAAGGACCCCACCTGACCCAGAAGCCCAGCCGGCTTCACCTCTCACTAGAGCTACTTAAAATATAAACATTTGGAAAATCTGGGTGAAAGGGCACACATATGTTCTCTGTTCTGTCTTTGCAATTTCTTGTGACTCTATAATGATTTCAAAGTAAAACGTTTTTAAAAAGCATTTTTTATTTTCTGGCTGAAATCCAAAACCCTCACAGAACCAAATGCTGGCAAGGATTTAGAAAAACAAGGACTCTGATTCATTGCTGGCGGGAATGCAAAACAGTACAGTCACTTTGAAAGGCTCTCTGGCTGTTTGTTACAAAGCTCAACATACTCTTACTATACAATCCAGCAATGGCACCTCTGAGCAAATGAGTGGAAAACTTATATCCACACAAATACCCATACATGAATGTTTATAGCAGTTTTATTCATAATTGCCAAAAACTTGAAGCCCCCAAGATGTCCACAATAGGTGAATTGATAAAGAAATTGTGATATATCCATACCATGGGGTATTGTTCAACAGTAAAGAGAAATAAGCTATTAAGCTATGAAGACACATGGAACAAACTTATAGGCATATTGCTAAGTGGAAGGAGCCAGGCTGAAAAGCTCTATACTGTAAAAGCACAACTATATGACACTGTGGAAAAGGCAAAAATACAGAGAGTAAATAGACCAGGGTTTCAGGAGGAGCAGAGATGGGTGAATAGGTTGAGCCTCAGGCATAGTTAGGGAAATTACTTTGTATGATGCTTTTGTTACTGAAATACCATGGATTTGTCTAGCTCCTTTTGAGATGGAGTCTTGCACTTTTGCCAGGCTGGAGTGCAGTGCCATGATCTCAGCTCACTGCAACATCCACCTCCCCCATTCAAGCAATTCTCCTGCCTCAGCTTCCCAAGTAGCTGGGATTACAGGCGCACACTGCCACCCCCGGATAATTTTTATATTTTTAGTAGAGATGGGGTTTCACCACATTGGCCTGGATGGTCTCAATCTCTTGACCTCGTGATCTGCCCGACTTGGCATCTCAAAGTGTTGGGATTACAGGAGTGAGCCACCATGCCTGGAAGACACTCTAGCTGTTTCTTACAAAGCTAAACATACTCTGCCATAAGATTCAGCAATTTCAATCCTGAGTATTACCCAAATGAGTGGAAAATTCTGTCCATACAAACAAGTGTATACGAATGTTTATAGAAGCTTTATTCATAATTGCCAAAAATTCAAAGCAACCAAAATGTCCTCCAGTAAGTGAGTGGGTGAACAAATTGTGGTATATCTATATCATGGGTTATCATTTAAAATTAAAGAGAAATAAGCTATCAAGCTATGAACAGACATGGAGAAAACCTATATGCATATTGTTAAGTGAAAGAAGCCAGCTAAAAAAAAACTATATCCCATATGATTACAACTATATAACATTCTGGAAAAGGCAAAAATACATACAGTAAATAGTGGTTTCCAGGGGTTCAGGAGGAAGAAGAATAGATGAATAGGTGGAGCCTGGGACAATTTTAGGTCAGCAAAACTACTTCGTAGGATACTTTTGTTACTGAAACACCAGGGGTTCAGTCTAGGTCTTGCACACAAGGGCTTTGGTCTGGATCTTGCTGCTCACCACACACAAAGCCAACCACTGAGATGACAATGAGCACTGCCAAAGAAGAAGGCTTTAATCTTTAATCAGGTGCTGCAGCTGAGGAGATGGGAGACCAGTGTCAAATCCATCTCTGTGACTGACTACAATTAGGAGTTTATCTAGCAGGGAAGAAATGTAACTATGTATGGGAAAACAGGAACTAGAGAGGGGTAAGGGAACAATCATGATGAATGGGGAACCTGGAGTCTCATTGTTTGGATGAGACGATCTGGTGAGTTCCAGTTCTTTGATACTTTTTAAGAGGCCTGGGGAATCTTTTTTTGCAAAGAAACTCAGATGAGACAAATATAAGTTTAAATTTAAGATCAGAAGTGTCCATTTAAATGCAGATTTAAAAGAAAAACTGTCTATGGGACTCGGGTCAGTTTGACTTTAATGGTGAATATATGATGTTATGTATTGATCAAAACCCATAGAACTGTATAATATGAATGAACCCTAATTCAACTATGGACCTCAGTTAACGTAAGTATCAGTATTGGTTCATCATTTGTAACAAGTGTACCACACTGATGCAGGATGTTAGTAATAGGAGAAACTGAGCAGAGGGCTGTTTTAGGAAAGAAGGGATGTGGGAACTACCTGAAATTTCTCCACAATTTTTCTTTACACCTAAAACTACTTTAAAAAATGGTTTTGTTACGTGGAATGATATGGATTTATTTTTGCTTTTTTATTCCATATTTGTCTGCATTTACTGCATTCTATATTGCTCATCTACTTATCTTATATTGAAATTATAGATATGTTACAAAATATGTACGCCTATTCTATCTGTAATATTCTCAAAATTCTGCTTGGATTCTATAAACCATAGGTAGAGAAACTTGTTATTTATTAGTAAGTGTTACAAGGTTGTGCCTCCTTGGTGTGTGATTGTTTTATTTTATAAAATTCGGCTGTAGAAATTTTGATGAAAACAATGGAAAGTTTAGTTTTTGCAATATTTTATGATCACCAAAGATGGTACCTAATTACTTTGCTTACATTTTTCCTTTAATTCTGATAATAATTCAATGTAGTAAAAATTAACAGCAGTATTTTTATGAGGAATCTGAGGCTAAGATAAGTAGGATACAAGTGAAAACATACCTAGTACATGATACAGCCCAGATGAAATCCAAATCTAACTCAATATTTATTTGCAGTCTATCACACTGTCATTGATAATTCACCTTTATGGTTTGTGGTAGGTTCTAGTAACCATTTTAGAAATAAGTATCATCATACTTTTACAGACAAATGAGCAATAGCTCACTGTTTTTCTAATATTTTCTTCTCACCTTAATGACGTGTCCTGCCACTGCTCCCATTACTCAGTTTTTCCACCCAAATACACATGTCCAAATATATAATGGTTTCAGTAATAAGTCAGACTGTTCTCCTGGTAATAAAACAGGCATCCAAGGCTTTTTCTAAAGGAACAGGCAATGTCAATCTGCAGTGTCTAATCTCATTCCTCTTGAAGTCTAGAATGAGCAATGCTGATATGTAAATCTTGTAATATTTGTGGGTCTTCTTCTCATTCTGCTCCACAGTCTACCCTCTATCTCCTCCTCTCCATCTGTCTCACCCATTCTCAGAGGCCAAATCCCGGGGTTTCAGATTCACTCTACTGAAGATACAGACATGTCATTGACCTGCAGGCTCAAGAACCAAAAACTGTTGCTGAACCAATCGCCCAGCAGAGATCTCCCAACAAACAAACCCTACTTTAGCGTTGTCCTGCTGAGGACTAGACCACAGCAATAGAATTGCCTGCACATGCTCAGAAAGAGACCAACCCAATGAGCCTGGATATTTCTGATTAATTCTGTTTCTAAGAAGTGTACAAATCTTCCATTCTTGTCTAACTTGGAAGAAAGAATTCAGCCAAGAGATGCATAGCAACGGTTGAGTAGCAGAGTTTATTGAAGCAAGATAAAGTACATTCCTAGAGAGGAGTGGAAAACAGCTCTGGGATGTTCCAGCTGGAAAAATAGTAGTAGCCGTGTTTATTTAAAGAGACAGTACGCTCTGAAAGAGGAGACAGTGTAAGCTGCTCAAAAGGAGGAGCCAGCAGCAGTCAGTGCTGAAGGAGTCTCTTTATGAGAATCTCACATGATTATTCATGAAGGGGCCTGAGGGGGTGTTACTTGCAAACATGTTTCAGGAAGACTCTTTGGGTGCGCATGCTCTGTCTTGTACTTGCTACTGCACATGTTGCATGCCTCAGTATTAAAAATCTCCACCCAGAGCTGTGTTTTTTACTATTATAGTGAGCAAAAGGCTATTCTAGGTAAGTTATTGGAGGAATGCACCATTTCATCAGTGGAGAAAGTCCCTGCCATGGCTGTTTGTGGCTAAGGCCTGTTAAGTCCCCTCCAGGGCCAGAGGAGCCCAACCACAAGGCCAGATGTAGCCAGTGTAAGCCATTGTCCTTTTTACTACTAGTGTGCAGTGCTGATTATCAGTGGGCAGTGACTCCAGGACTTCTTTTCCCAGGGACTCCCTTGCCTGCTCATTTCTGGCTCTCTGCCTACTCTTAACAATTCCAGAGCTTATATGATACATTCGACATTCAGACAATTCAGGATGAAGGGATCACATAAATCCTCTAGCTCCCTTCACTGCAAATAACCAGTTCAAACACCAGAAAATTCATCCAGGAACCATCAAAATAGTATAGTATTTCGGAAGAATTACTATTTGAAGAAACTTGAAGCAATAAGTAAATGAAAAATGTCCCCATAGAATGTTCAGAAAATTGCACAGTAGAGAAAGAATTCTATGTGGTATATTCCAGAAGCATTTCATGGAGATAATAAAATCATGGGAACAAGTTTTGAAAATGCCCCCATTAACACTATTTCAGTATGTTATTGATAAATAATTACTTTTGTTTGCTGCCTGTAATAGTTCATTCTTACATTGCCATCAGAAAATACCTGAGACTGGGTAATTTATAAAGAAAAAGGGGCCAGGCGTGGTGGCTCACACCTGTAATCCCAGCACTTTGGGAGGCCGAGGTGGGCAGATCACAAGGTCAAGAGATCGAGACCATCCTGGCCAACAAGGTGAAACCCCATCTCTACTAAAAATACAAAAAAAAAAAAAAATTAGCTGGGCGTGGTGGTGCTCATCTGTAGTCCTAGCTACTTGGGAGGCTGAGGCAGGACAGTCGCTTGAACCCACGAGGCAGAGGTTGCAGTGAGCTGAGATCATGCCATCACACTCCAGCCTGGCGACAGATCAAGACTCCATCTCAAAGAAAAAAAATTTCCTTTTTTTTTCTTTTTTTGAGATGGAATCTCGATCTGTCACCAGGCTGGAGTGCAGTGTTGCGAACTTAGCTCAATGCAACCTCTGCCTCCTGGGTTCAAGTGAGTGTCCTGCCTCAGCCTCCCAAGTAACTGGGACTACAGGCGCATGCCACAATGCCTGGTTAATTTTTTTTTTTTTTTGAGACTAAGTTTCACTCTTGTTGCCCAGCCTGGAGTGCAATGGCGCAATCTCGGCTCACTGCAACGTTCGCCTCCCTGGTTCAAGCAATTCTCCTGCCTCAGCCTCCCGAGTAGCTGGGAATACAGGCATGCGCCACCATGCCCGGCTGATTTTTGTATTTTTTTAGTAGAGACAGGATTTCTCCATGCTGGTCAGGCTGGTCTCGAACTCCCAACCTCAGGTTATCTGCCCACCTTGGCCTCCCAAAGTGCTGGGATTACAGGTGTGAGCCACCACACCCAGCCCCAGCTAATTTTTGTATTTTTAGTAGAGACAGGGTTTCACCGTGTTAGCCAGGAGGGTCTTGATCCCCTGACCTCCTAATCCACCCGCCTAGGTCTCCCAAAGTGCTAGGATTACAGGCATGAGCCACTGTGTCTGGCAGGAAAAAGGTTTAATTGACTCACAGTTCTGTATGGATAAGAAGGCCTCAGGAAACTTACAATCATGGCGGAAGAGGAAGGGGGCCATCTTATACAGTAGCAGGCGAGAGAGAATGTACCCATAGGAGGAACTGTCAAACACTTATAAAAACCATCAGATCTCGTGATAACTCACTCACTATCACAAGAACAGCATGGGGGAAACGGCCCCCATGATCTAATCACCTCCCACCAGGTCCCACACTGGACATGTGGAGATTATGGGGCTTACAGTTTAAGATGAGATTTGGTGGGGGAAACAGAGCCAGGCTAACCATGTCACTGTTACGGGATCATTGGGGTGTTGCTTTTCTTCCCAGAATCCTGTGGCTGGTAATGCCTTTGCCTGAGTTTTACTCGGGCCAGCTGGGCTCATTCCACCCACATTGCCTGGCATGCAGTGCTCAGCTCACACTACCGGCCTGGATCCCACACCTGCCAAGGGTGAATCAGGTGTCGAGGGATGTGTGAGCAACTGAGCATGGGGTCCAGCCACTGTGCAAAGCCAGGCAGGTTGTCTGTGCAGGGCAGGCAGCTCTAGGTGCTGCCATGGGTGTCAGCTCCCTGTGAGGCTGCAGCTAGACCAGGCACACCACAAGCAGCTTCCACAGCTGGCACTGGGGAACAACGTGGCACCTGGAAGCTTGGAGACCCCAGGAATCACAGGCCCCAAAAAGTGAGTCACAGCCCTGGCTCAGTGAGCTCCCAGGTTTGGGCTCCCTGAAGAGCCACAGCTCTTCCCTCCTTCTCTTTGCTCACGACATGGTGAGCAAGGGGCATGTTTCAGCCGTGTTTGTGTCACAGCTTTTTTAGCCTCACCATTTGGCAGATCTCCAGTTCTTGTCCTGAGTCCAATAAGAATGAGGTATGCAGACAAGTGGAGGGTGAACAGGACAAAGAGGAGCTTTATTAAGCCATAGAACAGCTCAGAGACCTGCAGTGGGCAGCTTCTCTCCATAGCCAGGTTGTCCTGACACCTGTTCAGCTCTCAGCAGAGAGGGTAGCTCCTCTCTGCAGCTGAACATCCTATTCTCTCCTCAGTTCTCAGCAGAGAGGAGACCCTGGGGAGGGCAACTCCTCTCTGCAGCAGTTCATCCCTCATCTCCCTGTCCTCTCTCCATCCTCTGCTCAAGTCGGCCTGAGCCCAGGGCTTTTACGGACCTCAGAGGGGAGGAAGTGCACATCATGGGTGGCCATGGGGCAGGCCCAGAAAAGGCACAAGTTCCCACTGCTGTCAGCAGGACTGGCAGCCCAGCCTGGTGAGCAGGGCCTCACCAGAGACCTGCCTCTTTCTTCCCAGGAAGCTGTTTGCCTCCCACTGCTATCCATGGTGACCAGGCTGCTCATGCCAAGGGGCACCTGTAGGCCACACCAGTTTCCCTCAGCCCATCTTCCCTCAGCTTCCCCCGGCTTCCCCATGGCTGAGGTGGCAAGAGATTGATATGTCAATGCTGCCCTGAGTGTGCGCACACCTGACCAGGCTGTGACAGCAACGGGACTGGGCCCGACTCCACTTTGAGATCAGAGCGGGAGCTGGGAGAGACCAGGGGAGAGGCCAGGCAGTGGGAGCAGACACCCCGGAACCTGCAGGGACACGGAGTCCTTCTCGGCCTTGAGGGCGTGGAGCGCAGAGAGGCCTGGATCCTGCTGTGGGAGGGTGGGTCTCCCACCCAATCCGTGGAGCCGGCAGGTAGCCCCTGTCACACCTCGCAGCCTGGGGTGGGCAGCTCCACTCACTGGGCCCAGGCCGGCATCTGGGGCAAAGGTGATGTCTCTGCAAGATCTTCTCTTAGAACTCAGGGGTGCCCAGGGATCTCCCTTGCCTGGATAAGGTCGGGGAGGCATCTTGGGGAGCAGATCTCAGCAGGGCTTGGCCATGGGGAACATCAGGCTCGGTGGCCACCCCCGAGGGCACAACCCTGGGCGGCCTCAGACAGAGCCTCCTCCTGAGACCCAGGAACAGTGCTCCCTCGGCAGGGTGGGACAGTGGCCTTGCCGCTGGATGGGTCCCCAAAGTGGGGCAACTCCCACTTCTCACCCCAGGCCCCTGAGGCATGGCCCCAGCTTCATGCCCTCCCCACAGCTATAGGATGAGAGCAGGAATGCAGGACTGGTGGAGGCTCTGGGCCTGGGGGCGGGTCCTGCTGGCTGCTCAAGGGTTGGGGCAGCACAGTCAGCTGCCTAAGGGACACAAGGCACAGGGGACATGGGGCACAGGGGTCCCACCATGGCCACTGCTCCCACAGTCATTCCTGCCACCACCGCTTGCAACTTACCACTGCAACTAGCCACTCTGGACAGCTCGCCACTGCCATCATCACCACCCTTTTATCCTAAAATGCTAAGGTGAACCTTAGATGGCTTTCCTAGATTACCATCATCACCATTAGTTTCTTTTTTTCACAATTTCTTCTTTTCTTTTTTCTTTCTTTGTGTGTGTGTGTTTTTTTTTTTTTTGACAGGATCTTCCTTGTTCATAATATTTAGTATTATTTCATGCTGATAAATCTGTAAGACTATAACAAAAGGTATGAAATTTGTGTCACTGGAGTCTTAGAGGGAAATGACAAATGGGTGATGCCCAAAGAGTGCTTGAAGGAAGACTGACTGCTTTCCAAATTTGGACAGAGGCTTAAATGTAAAAATTCAAGAATCTGTGCAAACCCAAATGAAAATAAATCCAAAGAAATTTATGCCAAAAAAAATCTCGGAAGCAACAAGAGAGAAAGGACATCTCATGCACAGGAGAAAATAAATTAAATGACAGTGGATTGCTCATTAGAAATCATGCAGACCAGACAGAAGTGGCACAAGATATTTTAACGGCTGAAAGGAATGTTAACCTAGAATGTATATCCAGTAAAAACATTATTATAAAATGTTCTATCATGACTTTTTTTTTCTTTTATTTTTCTTTTTTTGTTTGTTTTTCGTTTTTTAGATGGAGTTTTGATCCATCTTAAAAAAAAAAACCCAGGCTGGAGTGCAGTGGCGCGACCACGGCTCACTGCAGCCTTTGCCTCCCAGGCTCGTGTGATCCTCACACCTCAGCCTCCTGAGTAGCTGGGGTTACAGACACACACCACCACGCCTGGCTAATTTTTTGTATTTTTGGCAGAGACAGGGTTTTGCCATGTTGCCCAGGCTTGTCTCGAATTCCTGAGCTCATGGGATCCGCCTGCCTTGGCCTTCCAAAGTGCTGGGATTACAGGCGTGAGCCACTGCACATGGCCATGACATACTTAGAGGAAGGAAAATCAAGAGAATTTCATGCTAGCAGACTTATGTTAAAACAAGGGCTAAAGGAAGTGCTTTAACTGGAATAGAAATGATAATGGAAGAAATCTTGGACAATTGGGAAAAAAGTAAACAGCAAATGAGTAAAAATATGGTTAGATACAACAGACTTCTTCAGTTTTGTAAATTAACTTGATGGTTGAGGCAAAAATTACAACACTGACAAGATGTGATTTTGATGCAAGTAGAGAAAATAAAACATATATATTACACATGCAGAAGTGGAAAGGATTATAAAGGAGGTAAAGTTTCCACACTTTAGTCAAATTGGTAAAATGTCAGCACCAGTAGACTATGATAAGTTATGTTAACAGACAGATAAATCACGAAAACTATACAATGAGATACACCAAAAAAAGATTGATTTAAAAATGGAATTCTAAAAATTGCTTAAGGAACACATTGGAAAATAGGAAAAGAAACCAGAGAAGAAAAAACCAAAGGAAACAAAAAAGAAAACAAAAAGCAGATGGCAGTCATAAGAGCTCACATATTAATAATTGCATTACATGTAAAGTGTGTAAAAAGACAAATGCCAGAGTGAAAAGCAATGACTCTTCGACATGCTCCCTATAAGAAACTTACTTCAAATATTACATGCCCATCTTCCCTTGGCTTCCCTGTGACTGAGGTGGCAAAAGCCTGGTGTGTCAACACTGCCCTGAACGTGCACACACCCAGCCAGTCTGTGACAGCACTGGGGCTTTGCCCCAACTCCACTCTGAGATCAGAGTGGGCACCTGGGACCCGGGTGAGGCCAAAGGAGAGGCCAGAAAGTGGGAACAGACACCCCCAAGCCTGCATGGACAGGAGGGCCTTCTCAGCCTTGAGGGAGTGGAGTGTAGAGAGGCCTGGATCGTGTTGCCTGTGGGGAGGGCCGGGAGGGTGGGGTTTCCAACCCATTCCATGGAGCCTGCAGGTATCCCCTGTCACACCTTCTGGCAGCCTGGGGTGGGCAGCTCCCCTCGCTGGGCGCAGGCCAGCATCTGGGGCAAGGGTGATGTCTCTGCAAGTTATTCTGCTAGCACTCAGGGTGCCCGGGGCTCCTTCTCGCCTGGATGGGGCGGGGGAGGCACCTTGGGGAACAGATCACAGCCCGGGCCTGGCTGTCAGGAGCATCAGGCTGGGTGGCCACCCGCGGGGACAAAACCCTGGACGGCCTCAAGCAGAGCCTCTTCCTGAGGCGCAGGAACTGGGCGCCCTTGGCAGGGCGGGTCCTCAAAGTGAGGCCACTCCCATGTCCCACCCCGGGTCACTGAAGGGTGGCCCCAGCTCCATGCTCTCCCCACGACTGCAAGGTGAGAGCAGCAACGCAGGAGTGAAGGCTCTGGGCCTGGGGGCAGTCCTGCTGGCTGTTCAAGAGTGGGGTCAGTGCAGTCAGCTGCCTCAGTGACGCAAGGCACAGGGGACATGGGGCACAAGGGTCCCACCACGGCCACTACTCCCTCAGTGGCTCCTGCCGCCACCGCTTGCAACTTCCCGCTGTAGCCGGCCACTCTGGACAGCTCGCCACTGCCAGCATCACCACCCTTTTATCCTGAAATACTAACGTGAACCTTAGCTGATTTCCTGGATTACTACTATCACAATTAGTTTCTTTTTTTCACAAATTTGTTTCTTTTTTCTTTTTCTTTTGCTTTTCCCCTTCTTTCTGAAGGAGTATGATCTAATGACTGAGCTTGAGAGGTATATAATTTGGCTCAATCTATAGTGTACCGTTTACTAGTGTATCTTGGCAAAATTTGTTTTATCTCCATCATTTTAGTCTCTCCACCTGTAAGCATGAAAACGGTGTTTATTTTACTGAGCTGATGTGAGAATTAAATAAAAATATGAAGCATAGAAAGCTTTTAGTACAATTCTGAGTACAAAGTCAAATGCTCATTTTTATCGCAGCATGGTGAGAATCCTGCTCCTGGAAACACTAAGGCACATAAGGAAGGAGTGCCTATCAGAACTGTGGTACAGTGTGAATTAATGCAGAGCTTTATATGTATAGCCGTACTTTGAAGTCCATTCTGAATCTTAGATGTCACATTTATATTAGTATAAAGCATAATAATTATCTAAATGTAGAATTATATGTTTAAAATTACATGATTACATCAGCTGATGTAATTCATAGTTTTTCCCTAGGGTTCTCTTTCCTGAACATTCTGTAACGTATTAGTTAGCACAGTCTTCTTATATCTTCCCTTATGATAAATCAAAAGAAGCATAATAGTAAAGGGCCATAACCTCAATCAAATGAGGAAATCCTAATGGGAACCAGGAATGAGGGATTGAACACTCTTCACATAAAATATTAATTATTTTACAGCAGTGTTGTTCTGTCAACAGCTGACTTTGAGTCCTTGATCAATCTCTCAGACCCCTGAATACTTCGATTGCACAGTTGACCTTATCACATTGTTAGGGTAAGTGCTATACAAAGGCACCTTCAGACCCTCCATTGCACATAGGTGGTCCCTGCAAGCCCCTTCCTGTGTGTGTTCTGGAGGTGCCACTAAACTTGGGGGCAGCATCAGGAGACACACTTGAAAACAATTTAATCTCAGATTAAATTATTAACAAACTTTCCATTTCCTTTAACTTATTAAAGACATCCCTACCTGGAAATAGGTACAGAATACCCTCTCCAGTTAACAGCTGTCATTCTGTCCTATCATCAGATACCCAGGGGCTGTTGCTACTTGAGGCGTCCACAGAATCACAGCATTTTCCAGTATTGAAAGACCTGAAAGATCGCAGTGCCTTCATTTCAACTGTGAGACATGAAGTAATTTTCCCAAATCTATGACATTAAGATATGGTGCAATAAGGACTAGATTACAGGTCTCCAGATTTACAACCATGTTCCCTCCATCTCCTTTACTCCTAAACACACTCACACACTCACTTCTGCAAACAGTTGTCTTGTCAAGTGGGAAATGAATGCTCTTACAAGTCTCAAACTTGTGAACACATCACTGACCAGCACAGAGCTGGCTCACAATAAGGACCCAGTTAAAGTGTTCTACATGCAACTGGATCAAACCTTCCAAGTACTAAATTAAAACAATCATTTAAAGGAGGAAATTGTTTCAGAAGCTGACCTTCATACTGCATCTCTGAGCAGCAACTGATGATGCTATTGAACTCAGATGCTGATTGGTTCTCCAACACGAGATTACCCAACCCAGGAGCAAAGAAATTAGTACCTTACTCCCTGTGTTGGGGATGTGAGTAGAGGGAGGTCATAGTTCTCCGTGAATGTGAGACTTGCCTGCTACCCTGGCACCTGGTCCTGTCCTGTTCTCCAGCATGGTGTGTCTGAGGCTCCCTGGAGGCTCCTGCATGGCAGCGCTGACAGTGACACTGATGGTGCTGAGCTCCCCACTGGCTTTGGCTGGGGACACCGGACCTAAGTGCACCCTGTGGTTGCTGAGCTACTATAAGGGGGTTAAAGTAGGGACCTAAATTTGTCACTGTGCCCAGGCCATGTCCCTTAAGAATTTGTGGTGTTTTCAACAGGGATTGCCCATCTTTATCACATGGATCCCAAATTACTTCCTCCACAAAAGGAGCTTGGCTACTTGCCCTCTCCATGAGACTTGTGTAAGGGGCCTCCATACAGGTCATTTCTTCTCAAATCTCTACCAATAAAACTTTGCATCACATGTCCTCAGGGTCTTTAGAGGATTTAGAAAAAGGATGCTAAAATAAATTCCCCATACAGCACTTCCCTTTATTATGTTGACTTAAGTCAGACAAAAGGAGGTTTTTTTCTCAAAATTTTGTGAGAGTCAAGGGAATTCAAAGGGTCTCTCCTAGATGATCCTGTGTTATGTCCTCCACAGGACATGTGGTATTGGCCCCTCTTCCTCATATGTGAAGATGTACCCAGTGGCCTCCCCATTATCTACTTTCTTTTCTTTCTGAAGTCCAGTCTTTATAAAGCCTGTATCCCTGTAGCTTACATAGGTTCTCTGACAAAAGTTATACTTAGTGCTCTTTCTTTCTTATGGGGAAAAATCCCTGGAGCTGAAGCCGAGATCTTTAGTACTTGGTATCACCCTACAGACAGAGAACATCTGTGGGGTGTTCTTTGGTGCCTAAAGAACTTAAGGCATCCTCTGAAAACCTGGCCCAGGATAGTGTTTATTATGAATCTCTTTTAACCTTTCTATACTAGCTTCTCCTACATCTCCTATATGCTCTAACTAGACTCCACAAGAAGAGATTCAATGAATGTAGGATAAATTATATGAAATTATATTTTTGTAAGTCAAAAATAGTGAAATATCAGAAATTTGCTAAGGTTCAAACTATATACTCTGAGTGGAGTTACCGAGACAATGTGGACATTGTTCACATCTCATAGGGCTGAAAGTCAATGAGCAAGTCTTGGAAACTCATTGTCCTACTTGGGTCTTGTCCTAAATTTTATAGGTTCACCCATCATACCCTCCGCTTTTCTTAATTAGCCATGTCCGCTTACCTCTTCCTCCAGTTTCTCTCTATTTTTCCCCAGCTATGTTGTCATTATTTCCCAAAATCCTTAAATCTTGCACAGACCTAGAGCACTATGAGGTTCATCACAAGAGATAATTTCTTCCTTTTTTGAGGCAGGGCCTGGCTCGCACCCAGGCTGTAGTGAAGTGGTGCGATAGAGGCTCACTGCAACCTCTGCCGCCAAAGCTCAAGTGATCCTCCCTCCTCAGCCTCCAGAGTAGCTGGGACTACAGGCAGGAAACCACACCCAGCTAATTATTGTAATTTTGGTAGAGACTGCATTTTGCTATATTGCCCAGGCTGGTCTTATACTCCTGGGCTCAAGCGATCCTCCTGCCTCCCAACATGCTAGGATTACAGATGAGAGCCAACATGCCCAGCCGGAAAGAGATGAATCTTAATTTAAAAAAAAAAATTCCTTTTTCTTAAAATTACTCTTTCCTTGGCCAGGCGCAGTGGCTCATGCCTGTAATCCCAGCACTTTGGGATGCCGAAGTGGGCAGATCACGAGGCCACGAAATCGAGATCATCCTGGCCAACATGATGAAACCCGTCTTTACTAAAAATAAAAAAATTAGCTGGGCATGGTAGCACATGCCTGTAATCCCAGCTACTCGGGAGGCTGAGGCAGGAGAATCACTTGAACCCAGGGGGCGGAGGTTGCAGTGAGCCCAGATCACGCCACTGCACTGCAGCCTGGCGACAGAGCTAGACTCCATCCCAAAAATAAAAAAAAAAAAGAAAAAAATTAGTTTCCTTATCTGTTAATTCATCCAACTAGAAGGAGGAGAAAGAAGTAGTGTGCCTGTATTTCTCACAGGGAAGAGAAGGGGTCTAGTATGACATCAAAATGAAAGAGTGCTGGAGCTTGAGCCCCTTCTTGCTTTTCAGGATCCAAACAGTGATCAGTTCCCAGAACCCTGGTTTATTCATATAAACCACACTTATTTTTATCAGCAGCTACTGTGTACTGGCCTCCCTTCTAGGTTCAAATCATTCTATTTGAGTAAGATACAGTGGATTGGCCCCTACTCATGGAAATTACACAATCATAGAGGAGATAGACAATAACCCAATAATCATTTAACAAAGAAGAAAATTTCAGAGAGTCATTGTGCATGGAAGAAAAGACATCAGGTTTGTGGAAAGAGAGAATTGGATCCACCCAACTTTGGTTCATATGCTTAAGCAGCTCTACCTGAGAAAGTGACATTCAGCTGAGACAACAAAATAAGTAGACACTCGTGAGGATCTAAGGGACAAAATTTCCAGGGAGACAAAATGTGGGGGAAATCCTGGGGGGGAAATTATGTGCAGGGACAGAAAGAAGGCTAGAGGGGCTGACGTATAGGAAGCAAGAAAATGGAGAGGCAGAAGATGAGGTAGGATGCAGAGAGGAAGTCAGGAGCCTCATCATATTAGGCCCTGATGTTCATAGTAAGAAATTTTAATTTTATTTAAACAGATATGGGAAGCTACTGCATGGTTACAAGGAGAGTCCATTTATATTCAATTTTTAAAACTAATTCTAGTTACTTTGTGGGGATTGGATTGCTGGGGTTCACAAGTGGTCAGGAAGACTATTTAGGAGCACAGCAGGGAATCCTCAGGGAAAATAGGCTCATGGCTTCCTGGTGTGCATTAGTGACAAAGACAGTGAAAAAGATGAAGTGGACAGACTCGGCATGTAATTTGCTTAGCCTGTTAATGGATTACTGTAGAGGGGATAGAACAATCAAGCTTATTCCTAAGGATTTTGTCTTGACAAATAAGTGGATGGTGGTGGTGTTTATTGAGATAGGGAAAACTGTGGGAGGAGATTATTTGAAGTGGGTGGTTGGAAATGATTTATTGACATTTATGTGGAACAATCAGAAGGTCAAGGGAATTTAAGAGACTCACGGTGAGTTCAGGGCTGGAGGTGTTTCTGTTGACAGCATCAATACATGTACTCTGTTAAATTCCAGGGAGTGGAAGAGGATACATAGGGTAATAGCTTGTGTGTAGAAAAAAGAAGTCACAGGCCAGCAAAGGGGACTGAGAGGGAGCCCCAGGGATGTTGGAGAAAAACCAAGAGAACACAATGCATGTAAGTCAAGGAAAATAGATTTTTTTCAAGAAGGGAGAAGCCAATGAGTATCACAAAGTGGGTGAAGTGAGAATGTGAGAGAGAAGCAAGTGCTGGGTTTGCTGGAGTTGGTATTTGCAGTCAATGGAGTATCCAGGATGGAAAATGGAATGGACCATTTGAACAGCAAGTAGAAGTGAGGATGAGGTTAAGGTTGACTGTTCTGAGTAGAGAGATTCAGGGAAGGACTGCGCTCTGGGTTCAGGAAGCCAGCTGAATCTAAAGGAAAAGACTAAAAAGGCTGAAGAGAAGCAGGAGGATCTGTGAACCAGAGATGCTCAGTCATCATTGGCAAGGAAGTACGAGAGGGTCCCTGTGTGCAGTGGTGAATGTTCATGCAAAACATCACACAGCCAATATTTCACACAACCCATATTTATTAGTGACTTAGAATATGCCAGCTACTGCTCTAAGTCATGAGAATGGAGTGATGAATAAAATGAACCTGGTCTCCATCAGTACATGCCATATAACATTTTGCAGTGACTGTGTACCAGGCCTTTGATTTTCAGTATACAATTTCAATAATGATCCTATTGTATCTGTGGTGTTTAAAAACATATACATCTCTGGAATCTAAAATTGAGAAGATATAAGTAAAACCCAGTATCCCAAATGTAGTGCTAGAAATCAGATTGCAGTTTAAATCTGAGCATGTAGAAAGTCCCTTTCTCCTATGTCAGCAGATGCCTTTTGTGTGAGGTTTGTTTAGGTATACTGCATTATTAGACATAAGCTAGTGTTTCTGCCCTATGTTTTCAGAATGACAATTCTTTATGAAACTAATAGAAGAACAGAAAACAATTGCAAAATCATGATGAAGATACTAATTGCTTTAGAATCAAGGAATAAGGAAAATAATGTGAGCTGCAGTTAAAGGGATCATAAAAAATTAAAATGAAAATATTTTTGAGTGTTTATTATGTGGTCAGTGCTAAGAAGTCATTATTTAATTTTACACTTAAAAATAACCCTGTGAAGATGATGCTATTATTAAATGCATTTGATAGATTACAAAAAGGCTTTGGTTAGTAAAAATTGACCCAAGTAGAAGAGATTATGTTTCCATTCAGATTTTCTGATTCTAGAGATTGAGAGTCTGCCAATTATTAGTGAGTAGTGACCAAATTGTGTCTGAATTATTGACAGAATTCCTGATATTCATATGTATCAGGTTGTTTCTTGAAGTGGGAGCAGAGATGCAAGGGCTGCTAGTTCCAATGTATAGGAGAAACTTTCATTCATTTTGCATTTATCATTTTAAAAGTTCTATATGTCTCTCCTGGGCATGTGTTGAAGAACACAAGGAAGTATTAAATCACTCCTTGTTCTGAGGTTTGACTAGCAAGTTGGCCTGAGGTTGCCAAATAAAATACAGGTTCCTAGTTAAATCTGAATTTCAGATACACACCATAATTTATTGGAAATCCAAATTTAAGTGGGCATCCTCTGGTTTTATTTGCCAAACCTTTTGACCCTAACTGGGACACATGAGCATGGATTACAGTGCTAGTCATGCAAACCACAGTGACAGCGACTTCACACATGTTTATTTTTTAACTTTCTCTCTGTAAAGAAAGTGCTTAGATAATTTAAGAATAAAAAGACAGACATTTTTGATCCAGGGCATCGTTTCTAAAGGGCAAAGGGAGCTTTGCAAAGGTCATACTCAAAGTCTGGGGACCTGCTCATTTTTGCAAACTGCCTGTATGAGAATGTCATTTTCTTGGTTTCTCCCTTTCTGAGGGGAATTGACTACAAAACCGAGAGTTCTACCTCTGGCCAAGGCTGGAAATTTGATGCCTGTTAGTATTGTTGGGAGTGGGAGACTGAGAGAAATGAGTTAGTTGGGGCATTAAATGGGAATCAAATGGCTCTGGTTGTGATTCATTACTACAGATAATTAGTGGACCAGTGGCACAGAAATTAAGAAAGAAGATGCTATGAAAGATAAATGATATGATTTGATGACTGATTATAAAGGCAAGGAAATCAGTAAATCTTGGTTCTCCACAAGTTCATTTTCTGGAAACATAGCACTGTATTGGGACCAGAATTCTACAACATTTTCATTTTATGTAGGACCAAGATTTTCAACAGATGTTTTTCAAAGTAATTCTCAGCTGCTCCATAACTGATAGTGGCTTGTTCAACACAGATTTTTTCAGATGGTTCACACCCATGGTTCTTACCCAGGGATAGTTCACCACCCCTCCCTTCCCTCCCATCACCCTTGGGGAACATGTGGCAATGTTTGGAGGAATTTTTGGTTGTCACAACAGGGATTTCTTCTGATATTTAATGAGTAGAAGCCAGGGACACTTCTAGAGAACCTGCAATGTACACAACAGCCTCCATCACCAACGAAGAATTACCTGGTCCAAAATGTCAACAGTGCTGAGGTTGAGAGCACTGGTTCACACTGTGCTCTTTCTGAAAAGTCTAGACTCACATCTTTTTGTTTTGTTTTGTTTTGTTTTGTTTTGTTTTGTTTTGTTTTTTTGAGATGGAGTCTCACTCTGTCACCCAGGCTGGAGTGCAGTGGCACAATCTCGGCTCACTGCCAGCTCCGCCTCTGGGTTCATGCCATTCTCCTGCCTCAGCCTCCCGAGTAGCTGAGACTACAGGTGCCCGACACTGCACCTGGCTAATTTTTTGTATTTTTTTAGTAGAGACTGGTTTTCACCGTGTTAGCCAGGATGGTCTCGATCTTCTGACCTCGTGATCTGCCCGCCTCAGCCTCCCAAATTGCTGGGATTACAGGCGTGAGCCACCATGCCTGGCCTAGACTCACATCTTTTATACAATCACCACCCAATTCACTTCTTTATGGTTAATTTTTGCTTGTTTCATTATAAATAACTAGACAGTTGCATAAATTCAACCACTTTCTTGTTGAATCCATTCAGTGTAGAGAGCCGGAGGCTGGAGAATCATGACCAATTCAGAATTTCCACTGAGGCAATATGATCAAACAGCAAACTGTTTATCATGAATACAGAGCAGGGGCAAACTCTCCTCTGTGCTGGCCACCAGAAGGTTTGCTGAGGGCAATCACTCCCTGGTGCAGAGCTCCTTCAGGTTATCTACTGGGACATCTAGAATCTATTGTTCAAGGAATGTAGTCTTGCAAGGCTGCTCTGGAGCAAGCAGCAGACCGACAACGACCCCCTCCTTGCTATCTCTTCTCAGTAAATACGAAGGAAGCTCCAGGCTCAGGGCCTTTGTTCACAAAGAGCAAGGTGCCCCGACCCTTTCTTCCAAATATATTCTTTTGTCTTTATTTCCATGTTCATCCTCCTTTGTTCAGTCCAACAGGGTCCATGGCATAGTGATGTTCAAACAGCGACAGGGCGACACCGTAGTGGTTTCTAAACACAGGGACATGAGAATGTGAACAAAGAAGATCTGGTGGAGCAGAGGAACTGAAATTGACAAGACGAATGGGGACCCCGAGATGAGTCTGCTGGCAGCTGATATAAGGTCAGTGCCCTAAAGAGGTACTGGGAGCAATATAAGGTCAGTGCTCTAAAGAAGTATTGGGAACGGGAAGTTTTCTAAATCAGGGTAACGTGAGGCAGAATTTGTCTATTGAAGAAAAACATTATGAGCAGTTGCTTAAAGTTTTGTTGAAATAATCTGGTGCTCAGGTTAGATCTCAGACATTAACTACAATGCTGCAGGAGGTTATTATGTATAACCCATGGTTCCCACAGACAGGCACTCTTGATATGGAAAATTGGGACAGAGCAGAAGGATTAAAATGGGCTCAGTAAAAAGGTCTCAAAGTTGATCCTTCTGTTTTCTCCACTTGGAGTTTAGTCTATACTGTCCTTCTGCCATTATCTCCTTCTTCTGCTGGACAGCAGGAGTGATGTTCTGAGTCTAAAAATCTGAAAAAATCTGTTGTCCCACCCACAGCTCCAATTGAAAATAAAAAACAGGAGAAGGAGGATAAAAATTGGCCTATACCGCCTCCTCCAATAGCAGAAACATCTGTACCGCCTCCTTCGGTAGCAAAAATAGAGACCCCAATACAGAGAATTTTACACCGTGCTGCCATAGCTGGAGAGCCCTTAGGACCTTGCACTTTTCCTATTTCTGTAAGGCCTGATCCAAATAATCCATAGCAGCTTATTCATGAACACACTCCACTAGAGTTTAAGTTGTTGAAGGAATTAAAAGGAGTGTGGTAAATAATGGTGTACACAGCCTGTTCACTTTAGGATGGCTAGTATCTGTATTTGGTGCTGTGCGCCTTCTACCCTTCGATGTAAAGAATTTGGCTTACACTTGTTTGTCTCCTAGTGCATACCTGACATGGAATTTAAATTGGCAAGAAATGTGTGCAGACCAGGCTAGACAGAATTGTGTGGCTGGACACAGAGACATTACAGAGGACATGCTCTTAGGTAATGGCCCTTATTCAGACCTGGAACATCAAATGGCACTCCCAAATGCCAGCAGTGTGCACAGGCTGCCAAATGCAACTGGGCCACAATTCCAGAAGAGGGAGTCCCAGTGCAATCCTTTTTACATATCATGCAAGGGTCGCAAGAACCTTATGCACAATTTCTTGCATGACTATAAAAGGCAATGAAGCATCAGATTTATCACACCACTGCTGCAGAGATGCTAACCTTAACTCTAGCTTTTGAGAATGCAAATGCAGATTGTAAATGTGCATCGGCACCTGTGAGGTGTACAAAAAACTTGGGAAATTTTCTCAGAGCTTGTCAAGATGTGGGAAATGAGCTTCATCGCTCTACAATATTAGTGCAGGCAATGGCTAATTTAGCAGTTGACAAATCTAAAAGGAACCAAGGGTCAAACCCTAAAATGGGAAAATGTTATAACTGTGGAAAAACTGTACTTTTTTTTTTTTTTTTTGAGATGGAGTCTCGCTCTGTCGTCCAGGCTGGAGTGCAGTGGTGCAACCTCGGCTCACTGCAAGCTCCTCCTCCCAGGTTCATGCCATTCTCCTGCCTCAGCCTCCCAAGTAGCTGGGACTACAGGCGCCCGCCACTACGCCCAGCTAATTTTTTGTATTTGTTTAAGAGATGGGGTTTCACCATGTTAGCCAGGATGGTCTCGATCTCCTGACCTTGTAATCCGCCCACCTTGGCCTCCCAAAGTGCTTGGATTACAGGCATGAGCCACCATGCCCAGCCAAAACTGGACATTTTAAAAAGGAATTCCACCAGATCTCAGGACAGAAAGGACATTACGATGCAGTGCCCCACCCAGCGGAAAAAAACACCAGGACTTTGTCCTCACTGTAACAAAGGAAATCACTAGGCTAATCAGTGCCGCTCAAAATTTCATCAAAACAACATCCCCGTGTCGGGAAACTAGAAGGGGGCCTGGATCCGGGCCCCTCAAACAATGAGGGCATTTCCAGTTCAGACCACAGTCCCACTTCAGGGATGGGTCTCAGGAAAAACATTGATTCCTGGTGTTCCTCACCTCAGGAACACCAGGAAGTGCAGGATTAGATATCCCCACCAGAGAAAGAACTACATTAGTTGGAGGAGACAAACCTACAAGGTTCCCACTGGCATTTGGGGACTTTTACCAACAGGATACATAGGACTAATTTTAGGCAAAAGCCCCCTTAACTTGCAAGGCATGACTGTAGTCCCTGGAATAGTTGATTCCATTTATGAAGGAGAAATTCAAGTAGTTTTAATGTCAAAAATCTTTGCATTTTTGAACTGGGAGAATATATTGCTCAGTCGTTGCTTATTCCCTGCAAATTAAATCCTTATCCTTCTCCACGAAAGGAGAAACGAGGAAATAAAGGGTTTGGGAGCACAACTACAAGGGAAATCTATCTATCCCATCCCATAGCCCATAGGACTTATGGATAGAGGAGCTGAAGTGTCAGTAATATCCAGTAAGGACTGACCCCCAGTATGGTCTCTCAGACTAACCTCCACATCCCTAGTGGGAGGAGGAGCAGCTAAAAGTGTTCAACAGAGTGCTGACATTTTACCTTGTCTTGGTCCGGATGGACAGCCATGTACTTTTCAGCCTTATGTTGCAAATATGGCAATCAATTTATGGGATCGAGACTTACTTACAGAATGGAATATGAGACTTACAAATGAAAACTTTGATAACCCAGGATTTAAAATGTTGAAGGACATGGGATATCAGAGTGGGAAAGGTTTAGGGAAATTCCTACAAGGAAAACCTAACCCAATATCAATAACTGGAAAAAACAGATAGAAGAGGGCTAGGACGTCAGGATTTCTGATGGAGGTCATTGATATTTCTCCTCCACCCTCTGCCTTACCATTAGAATGGCCAGTGACAAACCCGTATGGGTGGATCAATGGCCCCTATCTCAGGAGAAGCTGACACAACTTCAGCAGCTAGTATAAGAACAACTGGACACAGGACATATAGAGGAGTCAGTTAGCCCCCAGAATTCACCAGTGTTTGTTATTCCAAAAAAGTCTGGAAGGTGGTGACTGCTGCATGTTTGGAGTTAATGCACAAATTGAACCAATGGGTCCATTACAGCAAGGTTTGCCAACTCCAGTGGTCATTCCTAGAGATTGGCTTCTTGTAGTAATACATCTTAAGGATTGTTTCTTCACTATACCATTACAGGAGAAGGATAAGCCTCGATTTGCCTTCTCTGTGCCTTCTATTAATCAAAAAGAACCTGTTTCTTGCTATCAATGGAGAGTTTTACCCCAAGGCATGCTTAACAGTCCTACGTTATGTCAGCATTTTGTAGGACAGGCATTAAAGGAGCCTCGAAATATGTTTCCTACTGCTTACATCATTCATTTTATGGATGACATTCTTTTGGCCGCTCCTATAGATCAAATCTTACATCGCTTATTCCAAGAAACAAAGTAGGCTTTAACTAAATGGAATGTCAAAATAGCTCCAGAAAAGGTAGAAACAACTTTGCCATACCATTACTTAGACAATATTGTTACTGAAAGAAGTGTACGGCCTCAAAAGTAGTTCTCCATAAAGACAGGTTACAGACTTTAGGCCGGCCGCGGTGGCTCACGCCTGTAATCCCAGCACTTTCGGAGGCCGAGGCAGGCAGACCACAAGGTCAGGAGATTGAGACCATCCTGGCGAACACAGTGAAACCCTGTTTCTACTAAAAATACAAAAAAATTAGCCGGGAGTTGTGGCGGGCGCCTGTAGTCCCAGCTACCCAGGAGGCTGAGGCAGGAGAATGGCATGAACCTGGGGGGCTGAGCTTGCAGTGAGCAGAGATCGCGCCACTGCACTCCAGCCTGGGCGACAGAACGAGTCTCTATCTCAAAACAAACAAACAAACAAACAAACAAAAAAAAGACAAATGAGTGCCTATGTGGTAGCATGTGAATTAATGCAGAACTTTATAAGCATAGTTGTATTCTGAAGTCCATTCTGAATCTTAGATGTTATATTTATATTAATAAAAAGCATAGTCATTATCTAAATGTATAATAATATGTTTAATATTACATAGTTACATCAACTAATGTAATTCATAGTTTTCCCTAGTGTTCTCTTTCCTGAGTATTCTGAAATGTATTAGTTAGCAAAGTCGTCTTTTATCTTCCCTTATGATAAAACAAGAGAAACATAATATAAAGTGCTATAGCCTCAATCAAATGAGGAAATCATAATGGGAACCAAGAATGAGGGATTGAACACTCTTCACATAAAATATTCATTATTTTAAAACATAATGTGGCCAGGCACGATGGCTCACGCCTGTAACCCCAGCAGTTTGGGAGGCCGAGGCAGGAAGAACATGAGGTCAGGAGATCGAGACCATCTTGGCTAACACAGTGAAACCCATCTCCACTAAAAATACAAAAAATTAACCAAGCATGGTGGCAAGTGCCTGTAGTCAGAGTTACTTGGGAGGTTGAGGCAGGAGAATCTTTGAACCGAGGAGGCAGATGTTGCAGTGAGCTGAGATCGCTCCACTGCACTCCAGCCTGGGCAACAGAGACAGACTCCGTCTCAAAAAAAAAAGAGTTGTTCTATGAACAGCTAACTTTCACAGTCTTCGATCGATCTCTCAGACCCATGAATACTTGGATTGCACAGTTGACCTTATCACATTGTTAGGGTAAGTGCCATACAAAGGCACCTTCAGACCCTCCATTGCACATAGGTGGCCCCTGTTAGCCCCTTGCCTGTGTGTGTTCTGGAGGGGCCACTAAACCTGGGGGCAGCATCAGGAGACACACTTGAAAAAGATATTCTTACTCAGATTAAATTATTAACAAACTTTCAATTTCCTTTAACTTATTAAAGACATCCCTACCTGTAAACAGGTACGGATTAAGCTCTCTAGTCAATAGCTGTCATTCTGTCATATTATCAGATACCCGGGGCTGCTGCTCCTTCAGGCGTCCACAGAATCACAGCATTTTCCAGTATCGAAAGACCTGAAAGATCACAGTGCCTTCATTTCAACTGTGAGACACGAAATAATTTTCCCAAATCTACAACATTAAGATATGGTGCAATAAGGACCAGTTTAAATGTCTCCGGATTTACAACCATGTTCCTTCCATCTCCTTTACTCCTAAACACACTCACACACTCACTTCTGCAAACAGTTGTCTTGTCAAGTGGGAAATGAATGCTCTTACAAGGCTCAAACTTACGAACACATCACTGACCAGCACAGAGCTGGCTCACAATCGGACCCAATTAAAGTGTTTTACATGCAACTGGATCAAATCTTTCAAGCACTAATTTAAAAACAATCCTTTAAAGAAGGAAATTCTGTTTCAGAAGAGGACCTTCATACAGCATCTCTGACCAGCAACTGATGATGCTATTGAACTCAGATGCTGATTGGTTCTCCAACACGAGATTACCCGACCCAGGAGCAAGAAAGTCAGTAACTTCCAACCCCATAATTTGGAATGTGGGTGGAGGGGTTCATAGTTCTTCCTGAGTAAGACTTGCCTCCTCCTCTGGCCCCTGGTCCTTTCCTGTTCTCCAGCATGGTGTGTCTGAAGCTCCCTGAAGGCTCCTGCATGGCAGCGCTGACAGTGACACTGATGGTGCTGAGCTTCCCACTGGCTTTGGCTGGGGACACCCGACATAAGCGCACATTGTGGGTGCTGAGCTACTATGGGGTGGGGAAAATAGAGAGTTTTGTTAACATTGTGCCCAGGCCATGTCCCTTAAGACTTTGTGACGTTTTGGTCAGAGATTGTGCATCTGTATTATTGGATCCCAAATTATCTCCTCCACGAAAGGAGCTTGACTACTTGCTCATGACACAGTCCATAAGACTGTGTAAGGGGCCTTCGTACAGATCATTTCTTTTTAAATCTCCACCAATAAAACCTTTGCATCACATGTCCTCAGGGTGTTTAGAGGATTTGGCAATAAGGATGCTAAAATAATTTCCCCATACAGCACTTCCCTTTATTATGTTGACTTACGTCAGACAAAATGACGTTTTTACTGAAAATTTTGTGGGAGTCAAGATAATTCAAAGGGTCTCTTCTAGAGGATCCTGGGTTATGTCCTCCACAGGAACTTTGGTGTTGGCCCCTCTTCCTCAAATGTGAGGATGTACCAATGGCCTCCCCATTATCTCCTTTCTTTTTCTTTCTGAACTCCAATGTTTATAAAGCCTATATCCCTGTAGTGTATGTAGGTTCTCTGACAGAAGTTATACTTAGTGCTCTGTCTTTCTTATGGGGAAAAATCCCTGGAACTGAAGCTAAGATCTTTAGTACTTGGAGTCACCCTACAGATAAAGAGCATCTCTGGGGTGTTCTTTGGTGCCTAAAGAACTTAAGGCATCCTCGGAAAACCTGGCCCGGCTTAGTGTTTATTATGAATCTCTTCTAACCTTTCTATAGAAATTTCTCCTACATGTCCTACATGCTCTAACTAGACATAACAAGAAGATATTCAACTAACGTAAGATAAATTATATGAAATTCTATTTTTGTAAGTCAAAAACAGTCAAATATCAGAAATTTAATAATGTTCAAACTATATACTGTGTGAGGTTACAGAGACAATGCGGACATTGTTCACATCTCATAGGGCTGAAAGTCAATGAGCAAGTCCTGGGAACTCATTGTCTTACTGGGGTCTTGTCTTAAATTTCCTAGGTTCACCCGTCATGCCCTCAGCTTTCCTTAATTAGCCATGTCTGCTTACCTCTTCCTCCAGTTTTTATTTTTCCCCAGCTATGTTGTCATCATTTCCAGAAATTCCTAAAGCTTGCACAGACCCAGAGCACTATGAGATCCATTGAAAGAGATTTTTTCCTTTTTTTGAGACAAGGCCTGGCTCTGTCACCCATGCTGTAGTTCAGTGTTATGATCTAGGCTTACTGCAACCTCTGCCTCCCAGGCTCAAGCGAGCCTCCCTCCTCAGCCTCCAGAGTAGTGGAGACTACAGGCAGGAAACCATGCCCAGCTGATTTTTGTAATTTTGCTAGAGATGAGATTTTGCTATGTTACCCAGGCTGGTCTTAAACTGCTGGACTCAAGCAATCCTCCAGCCTTGACCTCCCAACATGCTAGGGTTATAGGTTTGAGCCACCGCACCCAGGCAAAAAATAGATGAATCTTAATTTAAAAATTTATTATTTCTTAAATCACTGTTAATCTTTATCTGTGAATTCTTACAACTAGAAGGAGGAGAAAGAAGAACTTTGCCTGTATTTCACACCGGGAGGAGAAGGGGTCTAGTGTGACATCAAAATGAAAGAGTGCTGGAGTTTGAGCCCCTTCTTGCTTTCCAGGATCCAAACAGTGATCAGTTCCCAGATCCCTGGTTTATTCTTGTAAACCACACTTATTTTTCTCAGCAGCTACTGTGTACTCGGCTCCATTCCAAGTTCAAATCATTGTATTTGATTAAGATAGAGAGGGTCCCGACGCTCATGGAAGTTACACAACAATAGAGGAGACAGACATTAACCCAATATGCAATTAACAAAGAAGATAACGTTAGAGAGTAATAGTGCACTGAAGAAAAGACATCAGGTTTGTGGAAAAGAGAGAAATGGATTCACCCAACTTTAGCTCATGTGTTTAGAAAGCTCTGCCTGAGAAAGTGACATTCAGCTGAGACAACAAAATAAGTAGAGAGCCATGTGAAGATCTAAGGGACGAAAGTTCCAGGGAGACAGAATGTGGGGGCAGGGGGGGCGGGAAGCCCTGGGGTGGGAAATTACGTGCAGGGACAGAAAGAAGGCTAGAGACACTGAACTATAGCATTCAAGGAAATGCAGAGGCAGAGGGTGAGGTAGGAAGCAGAGAGGAAGTCAGGAGCCTCATTATATTAGGCTCTGATGTCCATGGTAAGAAATTTGAATTTTATTTTATTTATTTTCATTTTTTTATTTCATTATTTATTTTTTGAGATGGAGTTTCGTTCTTGTTGCCCAGGCTGGATGCAATGGAGTGGCCTCGGCTCACTACAACCTCTGCCTCCTGGGCTCACGTGATTTTCCTGCCTCAGCCTCCCGAGTAGCTGGGACTACAGGCGCCTGCCACCATGCCAGGCTAATTTTTTAGTATTTTTAGTAGAGACAGGGTTTTACCATGTTGGCCACGCTGGTCTCGAACTCCTGACCTCCGGTAATCTGCCTGCCTTGGCTTCCCAAACTGCTGGGATTACAATCATTAGTCTCCGTACCCAGCCTGAATTTTATTTAAATAGATGTGAGACACTACTGGATGGTTACAAGGAGAGTCAATTCATGTTCAGTTTTAGAAACTAATTCTGGCTTTAAAGTAGAGGGAAATTTATAGCACTAAATGCCCACAAGAGAAAGCAGGAAAGATCTAAAACTGACAACCTAACATCAAAATTAAAATAACTAGAGAAGCAAGAGCGATCACATTCAAAAGCTAGCAGAAGGCAAGAAATAACTAAGATCAGAGCAGAACTGAAGGAAATAGAGACACAAAAAACCCTTCAAAAAAGTCAATGAATCCAGGAGCTTGTTTTTTGAAAAGATCAACAAAACTGATAGACCGCTAATAAGACTAATAAAGAAGAAAAGAGAGAAGAATCAAATAGATGCAATAAAAAATGATAAAGGGGTATCACCACCGATCCCACAGAAATACAAACTACCATCAGAGAATACTATAAACACCTCTACACAAATAAACTTGAAAATCTAGAAGAAATGGATAAATTCCTCGACACATACACTCTCCCAAGACTAAACCAGGAAGAAGTTGAATCTCTGAATAGACCAATAACAGGCTCTGAAATTGAGGCAATAATTAATAGCTTACCAACCAAAAAAGTCCAGGACCAGACAGATTCACAGCCGAATTCTATCAGAGGTACAAGGAGGAGCTGGTACCATTCCTTCTGAAACTATTCCAATCAATAGAAAAAGAGGGAATCCTCCCTAACTCATTTTATGAGGCCAGCATCATCCTGATACCAAAGCCGGGCAGAGACACAACGAAAAAAAAGAGAATTTTAGACCAATATCCCTGATGAACATCGATGCAAAGATCCTCAATAAAATACTGGCAAACCGAATCCACCAGCACATCAAAAAGCTTATCCACCATGATCAAGTGGGCTTCATCCCTGGGATGCAAGGCTGGTTCAACAAATGCTAATCAATAAAGGTAATCCAGCACATAAACAGAACCAACGACAAAAACCACATGATTATCTCAATAGATGAAGAAAAGGCCTTTGACAAAATTCAACAACCCTTCATGCTAAAAACTCTCAATAAATTAGGTATTGATGGGATGTATCTCAAAATAATAAGAGCTATTTATGACAAACCCACAGCCAATATCATACTGAATGGGCAAAAACTGAAAGCATTCCCTTTGAAAACGGGCACAAGACAAAGATGCCCTCTCTCACCACTCCTATTCAACATAGTGTTGGAAGTTCTAGCCAGGGCAATCAGGCAGGAGAAGGAAATAAAGGGTATTCAATTAGGAAAAGAGGAAGTCAAATTGTCCCTGTTTGCAGATGACATGATTGTATATCTAGAAAACCCCATCGTCTCAGCCCAAAATCTCCTTAAGCTGATAAGCAACTTCAGCAAAGTCTCAGGATAAAAAATCAATGTGCAAAAATCACAAGCATTCTTATACACCAATAACAGACAGAGAGCAAAATCTTGAGTGAACTCCCATTCACAATTGCTTCAAAGAGAATAAAATATCTAAGAATCCAACTTACAAGGGATGTGAAGGATCTCTTCAAGGAGAACTACAAACTGCTGCTCAACGAAATAAAAGAGGACACAAACAAATGGAAGAATATTCCATGCTCATGGGTAGGAAGAATCAATATCATGAAAATGGCCATACTGCCCAAGGTAATTTATAGATTCAATGCCATCCCCATCAAGCTACCAATGACTTTCTTCACAGAATTGGAAAAAACTACTTTAAAGTTCATATGGAACCAAAAAAGAGCCCTCATTGCCAAGTCAATCCTAAGCCAAAAGAACAAAGCTGGAGGCATCATGCTACCTGACTTCAAACTATACTACAAGGCTACAGTAACCAAAACAGAGATAGAGATCAAGGGAACAGAACAGAGCCCTCAGAAATAATGCCACATATGTACAACCATCTGATCTTTGACAAACCTTACAAAAACAAGAAATGGGGAAAGGATTCCCTATTTAATAAATGGTGCTGGGAAAACTGGCTAGCCATATGTAGAAAGCTGAAACTGGATCCCTTCCTTACACCTTATACAAAAGTTAATTCAAGATGGATTAAAGACTTACATGTTAGACCTAAAACCATAAAAACCCTAGAAGAAAACCTAGGCAATACCATTCAGGACATAGGCATGGGCAAGGACTTCATGTCTAAAACACCAAAAGCAATGGCAACAAAAGCCAAAATGGACAAATGGGATCTAATTAAACTAAAGAGCTTCTGCACAGCAAAAGAAACTACCATCAGAGTGAACAGGCAACCTACAGAATGGGAGAAAATGTTTGCAATCTACTCATCTGACAAAGGGCTAATATCCAGAAACTACAAAAAACACAAACAAATGTACAAGAAAAAAACAAACAACCCAAGCAACATGTGGGTGAAGGATATGAACAGACACTTCTCAAAAGAAGACATTTATGCAGCCAAAAGACACATGAAAAAATGCTCATCAACACTGGCCATCAGAGAAATGCAAATCAAAACCACAATGAGATACCATCTCACACCTGTTAGAATGGAGATCATTAAAAAGTCAGGAAACAACAGGTGCTGGAGAGGATGTGGAGAAATAGGAACACTTTTACACTGTTGGTGGGGCTGTAAACTAGTTCAACCATTGTGGAAATCAGTGTGGCGATTCCTCAATGATCTAGAACTAGAAATACCATTTGACCCAGCAATCCCATTACTGGATATATACCCAAAAGATTATAAATCATGCTGCTATAAAGACACATGCACATGTATGTTTATTGTGGCACTATTCACAATAGCAAAGACTTGGAACCAACCCAAATGTCCAACAATGATAGACTGGATTAAGAAAATGTGGCACATATACACCATGGAATACTATGCAGCCATAAAAAAGGATAAGTTCATGTCCTTTGCAGGGGCATGGATGAAGCTGGAAACCATCATTCTCAACAAACTATTGCAAGGACAAAAAACCAAACACCGCATGTTCTCACTCATAGGTGGGAATTGAACAATGAGAACACATGGACACAGGAAGGGGAACTTCACACATGGGGCCCGTTGTGGGGTGGAGGAAGGGGGGAGGGATAGCATTAGGAGATATACCTAATGTAAATGAAGAGTTAATGGGTGCAGCACACCACGTGGCACATGTATACATATGTAACAAACCTGCACATTGTGCACATGTACCCTAGAACTTAAACTATTAAAAAAAAAACCGATAATTCTTTTTTTTTTTTTTTTTGAGATGGAGTCTCACTCTGTTGCCCAGGCTGGAGTGCAATGGTGCAGTCTCAGCTCACTGCAACCTCCACCTCCCAGGTAATTTTTGTATTTTTAGTAGAGACGGGGTTTCACCATGTTGGCCAGGCTGTTCTCAAACTCCTTACCTCATGATCCGCCTGCCTCAGCCTCCCAAAGTGCTAGGATTACAGGCGTGAGCCACTGCGCCCGGCAGAAAAGAGGTAATTCTTAATGAAAATTTTTTTCTTTCTTACAATCACTGTTTCCTTATCTGTGAATCCTTCTTCCAACTAGAAAGAGGAGAGAAAGGAAGTTTGCCTTAATTTCTCACAGGGAGGAGAAGGGATATAGCATGTCATTAGAATGAAAGGGTGCAGGAGCTTGAGCCCTTTTCTGCTTTCTAGAATACCCAGAGTGATCAGTTCCCAGAACTTCGGTTTATTCATTTAGACCACAGGTATGTTTCTGAGCAAAAGTTTTGTTCTGGTCTCTGTTCTAGGCTGAGAGATTTCTACTTGAATAGGATAAAAAAGATCCCTACTCTCATGGAACTCAATACCAGAGGAGACAGACAATATCCCAATAAATATTTAACAAAAAAGAAAAATTCAGAGAGCAATAATGCCTTTAAAAAAAGACATCAGGGTGATAGGACAGAGAGAATTGGATTCACCCAACTTCACATTGGATTCACAGGTAGTTTGGGAGCCCTCCCTGAGGAGAGCTCACATTTAGCTGAGACAAGAACAATAAGACAGCCATGTGAAGATCTAAGGGACAAGTGTTCCAGACAGACAGAAAAGGGGAAAGGCCAAGGAATGGGAAGGCGTGTGCTGTGTTGAAGAGACAGAAAGAAGGTTAGAGGGGCTGAAGGATGGAAAGCAAGGGGTGGAGTGGCAGAAGATGAGGTAAGAGAGAGAGAAAGTCAGGAGCTGCATCATATTCGGCCTTGGTGGCCATAGTAAGGAATTAAGTTTTATTTAAACATATTTGAAGCTCCTGGAAGGTTACAAGGAGAGTCCATTAATATTATGTTGCGGGAAGTCAGGGACCCCAAACAGAGGGACTGGCTGAAGCCAGAACAGAAGAATGTGGATTGTGAAGATTTTATGTACATTTATTAGTTCCCCAAATTAATACTTTTGTAATTTCTTATGCCTGTCTTTACTGCAATCTCTAAACATAAATTGTAAAGATTTCATGAACACTTATCACTTTCCCAGTCAATACCCTTGTGATTTCCTATGCCTGCCTTTACTTTAATCTCTTAATCCTATCAGCCGAGGAGGATGTACGTCGCCTCAGGACTATGTGATAATTGCATTAACTGCACAAATTGTATAGTATGTGTGTTTGAGCAATATGAAATGTGGGCACCTTGAAAAAAGAACAGGATAACAGCAATTGTTCAGGGAATAAGAGAGATAACCTTAAACTCTGACTGCTGGTGAGCCAGGCAGAACAGAGCCATATTTCTCTTCTTTCAAAAGCAAATGGGAGAAATATTGCTGAATTCTTTTTCTCAGCATGGAATGTCCCTGAGAAAGAGAATGCACACCTAGGGGTAGGTCTCTGAACTGGCCCCCCCGGGGCGTACCTATCTCTTATGGTTGAGATTGCAGAGGTGAGATAGATTCCAGTCTCCCATAGCGCTCCCAGGCTTATTAGGAAGAGGAAATTCCCACCTAATAAATTTTGGTCAGATCGGTTGATCTCAAAACCATGTCTCCTGATAAGATGTTATTGATGACAATGGTGCCTGAAACTTCATTAGCAATTTTAATTTCGCCTCGGTCCTGTGGTCCTGTGATCTCGCCCTGCCTCCACTTACCTTGTGATATTCTATTACCCTGTTAAGTACTTGATGTCTGTCACCCACACCTATTCGCACACTCCCTCCCCTTTTGAAAATCCCTAATAAAAACTTGCTGGTTTTTGTGGCTTGTGGGGCACCGTGGATCCTACCAACGTGTGATGTCTCCCCCAGCTTTAAAATTTCTCTCTTTTGTACTCTGTCCCTTTATTTCTCAAGCCGGCCGATGCTTAGGAAAATAGAAAAGAACCTACGTGATTATCGGGGCAGGTCCCCCGATAATATTCAATTTTAAAAATAATTCTAGCTACTATGTGGAGATTGGATTGTTGGGGTTCACAAGTGGACAACAGCAGAATTCTCCAGGGAAGAAAAATTTTTGGCTTCATGTAGTGTAGTAGTGACAAAGACAGATCCAGATAAAGTGAACAGACTTGGGATGTCTTTTTGCATGACTTGTTAATGGATTAAATGTAACTTATTTCTAAGTATTTTGCCTTGATAAATAGGTGGATGGTGGTGCTGCTTATTGAAATAGGGAAGAATAATGGGAGGAAATGATTTGAAGTGGGTGATTAGAAATGACAATTGTGTTTATTAAAATTGAGATGATTTTTGAACTCACATGAAGCAATCAGGAAGTCAACTGAATATAAGAGAGGAGTTCAGGGTGAGGCCAGGGCTGGAGGTATTTATGTTGGGGTCAATGCAGGTTCTGTGTTAAATTCCAGGGAAGTGGAAGAGGTTGCAGAGGGAGATAGATTTTTGTGTAGAAAAAATATCAGAGGGCCACAGGACAGCATAAGGGACTGAGAAGATTCCCCAGAGATGCTGGAGAAAAAAAACCCAAGGAATGTGATGCATGGGAATCAAAGAAAAATGATTTTTTCGAGGCGAGGGAGTGGCCAGTTGTGGTGAGAACCACTGACAGGTGAGTGAAGTAAGAACGTGACAGAGACGCAAGTACTGGGTTTGGAGGAGTTGATATTTGCAGTCAGTGGAGTATCCAGGATGGAAAGTGGATTGGACCATTTGAAGAGCGGGTGGAAGAAGTGAGGGCTGGATGAAGTTTGACTCTTTTGAGTAGCGAGCCTCAGGGAAAGACTATGCTCTGGGATCAGGGAGCCAGCTGGATCTAAAGAAAATGAACAAAGAAGCTGGATGACCTGTGAACCAGAGACAGATGCTCAGTCATTGGCAATGAAGCACTAGAAGGCCCCTGTGTACAGTGGTGACAGGTTATGCAAAAGGCTATTAGTTCATACAGCCAATATTTATTAGTGACTTAGAATATACTAGTTATTACCTTGGGTGATGAGAATGGAGTAATAAACAAAGCAAATCTGGTCTGTATTAGCGCGGAGTATTGTAATATTTTGCAGTGACTAATTACCAGGCTTATAAATTTTGGTATGGAAATCTAATACCTATCCTATCATATCTTTGGTATTTAAAAGCATATAGATCTTTGGAATCTAAAATTCAAAGGGTATAATGAACTTACCCACTGTCACAAAGTTAGTGCTAGAAATCCGATTGCAATTTAAATCTGAGTATATATGAAGTCCCTCTCTTCGATATCAGCAATCTCCTTTTGTGTGAGGTTTAGGCATATGAATTATTATATATAAACCAGTGTTTCTGTCCTCATGTGCTTAAAATGGTAATTAGTGATAAATTAATAAAAGACAATTGCCAAATCATGATGTAGACGTTACTTGCTTTAGAAGTTAAGGAATAGAAAAATAATGAAGCTTTCCTTTATAGGGATTGTAAAAATAAAATGGTAATATATTAGAGTGATTATTATATTATCAGCACTAAGAAGAGCCACTGCTTAGTTTTACCCTCAACAATAATCCTGTGAGGAATATATTACTGTTGGATCCATTTTATATATTTTTTTAAAGGTTAATGGTTGTTAAAATTAACCCTAGTAGAAGGGGTCATGTTTAAATTCAGATTTCCTGATTCTAGAGCCTGAGCTTACAACCACCATTGGTGAATAGTGACTAGACTGAGTCTGAATTATTGATAGAATTTCTTATGTACAGGGTGTGTCTCAGGGTGGGAGAGAGATGCAAGGTCTGCTAGTCCCAATGTAAAGGAGAAACTTTCATTCATTTTGCATTTATCATTTGAAAACTTCCCTATGTGCACGCTGTCATAGGCATGTGTTAAAGAACACAAAGAAGTATTAAATTCACTCCTTCTGAGCATTATTAGCAAGTTGGGCTAAGGTTGCCAAATAAAGTACAGGATACCCAGTTAAATCCGAACTTCAGATAAACAACAATAATGTATTTGAAATCCAAATTTAACTAGGCACCCTCTATTTTTATTTGCTAAATATGGCAATCTAAGCTTGGCACATGAGCATAGACTGCAGTGCTAACCATGCAAGCTACAGTGACGGCAATTTCACATATTTTTATTTTTCAACATTCTTATCTGTGAAGAAGGTGCTCAGAGAATTTAGGAATAATAAGATAGACCTTATCTCATCCAAAGTGCTCTCCTCTCTGCTATCATTTCTGAAGGGTGAAGGGAGCTTGTGAAAGTCTCTACGCAAAATCTGGGGACTTGCTCGTTTTTTGGAAACTATCTATGAGAGAATGCCATCTTCTTAGTTTCTCCCTGTATTAGTCTGTTTTCAGGCTGCGGATAAAGACATACCCAAGACTGGATAATTTATAAGGAAAAAGGGCTATAATAGACTCACAGTTCCATGTGGCTGGGGAGATCTCACAATCACAGCGGAAGGTGAAAGGCATGTCTCACATGATGGCAGGCAAGAGAAGAATGACAGCAAGCGAAAGGGTTTTTCCCTTTATAAAACCATCAGATCTCATAAGACTTATTCACTGTCATGAGAACAGCATGGGGAAAGACCTGCCCCCATGACTCAACTATCTCCCACCTGGTCCCTCCCACAACACGTGGGAATTGTGGGAGCTACAATTCAAGACAAGATTGAAATGCTTACGCAGCCAAACCATAGCACTCCCCTTCTGAGAAGGCTGAACTACAGAAATGAGAGTTCTGCCTCTGTCCAAGGTTGGTAATTTGATGCCTCCTTGTATTGTTGGGAGTAGGAAACTGAAAGTTAGAAAATGAATTAGCTGAGGCAGTGAGTAGTGGACCAGTGACACAGAAATTAAGAATATGACTTGGCGACTGGGAAGGCAAATAAATCAGTAAACCTTGGTTCTGAATGTATTAATTTTGCTAGAAAAATAGCTCTGCACTGGGACCAGATTCCTAAAAATCCTAAGTTTTATGTAGGACCAAGATTTTAAATAGATAGAATATTGGCAGAGTTTTCAGTGTAAATCTCAAATATTCCATAATTAATAGCGGCTTTTTAACCATAGATTTTTCAGATGGTTACACTAGTGGGTCTCACCCAGGGATAGTTCACCACCCCTCTGTCCCTCCCTTCCCTCTCCCAACTCCCTAGGGAACATTTGGCAATGTCTGGAGCCATTTTTGGTTGTCACACCAGGAGTTTCTTCTGACATGTAACAAGTAGAAGCTAGGGACCCTAGTAGACAGCTCCTCTCACCAAGAAAATATTATCTAGTCCAAAATGTCAATAGTGCCAAGGCTGAGAACACTGGTTTACATTGTGTTTCTTCTAAAAATTCTAGACTCACACTTTTAAAACACATTTATCTCTTAGTTCAGCTCTTCATGGCTTAGTTTTGCTTGTTTCATTACCAAAAAAAAAAAAAAAACTAGACAGTTGCATAAATTCACTGCTTTCTTGATGAATCCATTCAGTCAATGCAGGTTCAAGATTTTCATTTTTACTTTTTTGCGTTATGCAGTTTATTTCAAAATTTTGATGTGTTCTTGATAATTACTATCTCTATTAACTTTCAACAACTGGTAATTGTAAGTCATAAATGGTGACGACTATCCCAAATATTTTTCAGTAAAATGCCTCAGATTTCTGCAGTAATTCTACATTTTATACTACTGATAATGTAAGATGCTTTCTATTCACTGTGGTACATATACACCACGGAATACTATGCAGCCATAAAGAGGAATGAGATCACGTCCTTTGCAGAGACATGGATGAAGCTGGAAGCCATTATCCTCAGCAAATTAACACAGAAACAGGAAACCAAACACCGCATGTTCTCACATATAAATGGGAGCTAAACAATGAGAACACATGGACACAGGGAGGAGAACAACACTTACTAGGGTCTGCTGGGGGAGGGCAGAGTTGGGGAGAACATTAGGGAAAAGAGCTAATGCGTGCTGGGCTTAATACCTAGGTAATGCGTTGATAGCTGCAGCAAACCACCATGGCACATGTTTACCTGTGTAACAAACCTGTACATCCTGCACATGTACCCAGAACTTAAAAAAAAAATTATTATTTTAAAAATGCTTTCTATTCATCTCATTTTATTAAACACAAGGATTTTTCTTTATTTTTTATTTTTCATAGTTCATTTAAACATAAATACAAAAACATCAAAAATATATACATGCACAGTATTTGAAATCTGTGTATATTTACACATGCATACGTATGTTTGTATGTTTATATATATTGAAACTACAGATGCACATGTCACCAGTAAGAGCTCTGTGACACTTTTGAGTCCTTACCTCTTCAGATCAGATTTGCCAAATGAGTTTCGGCAACAAATTAAAAACAACAGCAAGTGAATTCGTGAGTTTTCTGGATTTAGAAAGTCCAAAAAAAAAAGTTTGTGGACCTGTGTTGGGGTCATGGACTCTTCAACTGCTTCCCATTACATTTAGTATAAATCGAAATCCTAACATGACAATGATTTTAATTGTTTCCTTCTTGTGATTTCTCCAGTTTAATCTTTTCCCCTCCTTTCCTTCATGCTGTGCTTTAGTGAACTTTTTTCTGGTTTCTTGAAGAAGTTCATCAATTCTTTCAAGCTTTTGTACATGATATTATGCTTACCTGAAATGTGCCTCCCTTTTTGTCCAGAGACACACACGGGCTCCACTCTGCCCCCTGGCTCACACCCACTAAACCTGTAAGGTCACATTTGAGCTGTCACTCTCAGAGTCCTTCTCTGGCACCCTAATGTAATTTAGATCATCCTATTCTTTCTTCTAGAACTCCACACTTCTCTTAACATTTTTCTTTCCTGTATAAGGTGTTGCGTGTTTGGTTTTTTGCCATCAATTTCACTTCTCTTTAAGCTCCTCCAGCGGAGGGATGAGGTCTATTTTTCCCGTTTGGATTCCCAGGAGACAGCACAGATGAGACACAAGGTAAGCACTAAGGAAGCATTTACAGAATGGAGGCAGTGGGTCTTGTTTAAGGAATGAGTAGAGTGTGGCATGATAGGAGGGAGCAGAAGTGTCTTTTGGATGGAGGCTCCCAGGAGGAGGAAGCGCAGGAGACAGTGATGAGGAAGGTGATTCTGATCCAGAGCCTTGCAAAGAGGCGTCCAGCTCATCTCGGAAATGGGTAGCAGATCCCAAATGGTATTCCACGCCCCTCGCAGCCTCCCTCCGCCTCAGGCAGATGGAAGAGGAACCCCTAGGTGGTCGGGGGTGGCTGGTGGGGGCCAGTCAAGGTGTTCCGCCCCTCGCCCTGCTGATTGTGGGCATAGCCATCACTCTTTTCCTAGGATGCCGCCCAAGAAACCGGTTCTTCATGTCCCTGCGGCACATTTCTTGGAGCAGATTAAACACGAGTGCTATTTCTGCAATGGGACAGAGCGGATGCGGTTTGTGCAGAGACTCGTCCACACCGGAAGGAGTATGCGCGCTTCCATAGGGACGTCAGAAAGTTCCGGGCGGTGGCGGAGCTGGAGCGGAGAAGAGTCCAGGAATGCAAACAGCCAGAAGAACCTCTTGGGCTGCTTGCGGGGTCTGTTGGACACCTACTGCAGACACAACTACGGGGTTTTTGAGAGCTTCTCCATGCACAGGCGAGGTGAGCAAGGCGGGTGGGGGAGGGGAGTAGGGTCCCTGAGAACAGGGAGTGTGTGTGTATGCACACGTAAGCACCCTGTGGGAGGGTGTAGGATTGTGAGCCAGAAGGAATTAGGAGGGCTCAGGTAGGTGAGTGTAGAGTGGGGATTTGTCTGTGTGTCTGCTGTGGGAGGGAACACAGGAGGGAGCTTCAGCTTGTCCTTCCAGCCTTCTGGGCAGAGATGAGATGAGATGGGGGTGGGAATGGTGGTGCAGGGGGCTGGAGAAGGAGACCTTAATCGCCCTGAATCATTAGAGATGCAGGAAAGGGAAACTTACCTAGTCTGCTGTTGGCATGAAAGTTTAGGGGAGAAGAGATGAGAAATGATAATGTGAGGGATAATGTGAGGAGGCTAGTCACAAACTGTCCTTGGTACACACCCTTTATGATCCCGAAATCTCTGAAATAAAAGTGTATGATATTTGTTTGCATAAGCATTTCACTGAGAAAAAAGTATTCAACTAATTTCTTTCTTTTTTATTTTAAACTTTTATTTTAGTTTTAGGGATACATGTACAGGTTTGCTCTATAGGTAAACTGCATGTCAGGTGTGTTTGATGTACAGATAATTTCATCACCAAGGTAATAAGCATAGTATCTCACAGGTATTTTTCCTGATCCTTTCCCTCCTCCTATCCTTCACCCTCAAGTAGGTCCCCATATCTACTGTTCTCTTCTTTGTATCCATGTGTACTCAATGTTTAGTTCCCACTTATAAGTGAGAACATGTGGTATTTGGTTTTTTGTCCCTATGTTAGTTTGCATAAGATAATGGCCTCCAGCTCCATCCATGTTCCTGCAAAGGACATGATCTTGAGAGGTGACGCTGGCTGGGCTTCTGGGTTGGGCAGGGACTTGGAGAACTTTTCTGTCTAGCTAAAGGATTGTAAAAGCACCAATCAGCACTCTGTGAAAACACACCAATCAGCACTCTGCATCTAGCTAAAGGTTTGTAAACGCACCAATCAGCACTCTGTAGAAATGCCCCAATCAGTGCTCTGTGTCTAGCTAAAAGTTTGCAAACGTGCCAATCAGCACTCTGTAAAATGGACCAATCAGCAGGATGTGGACAGGGCCAAATAAGGGAATAAAAGCTGGCCACCCCAGCCAGCAGCTGCAACCCACTCAGGTCCCCTTCCACACTGTGGAAGCTTTGTCCTTTCACTCTTTGCAATAAATCTTGCTGCTGCTCACTCTTTGGGTCCGCACTACCTTTATGAGCTGTAACACTCACTGCTAAGGTCTGCAGCTTCACTCCTGAAGCCAGCAAGACAACAAACCCACCAGGAGGAACGAACAACTCAGGACGCACCACCTTTAAGAGCTGTAACACTCACTGTGAAAGTCTGCAGCTTCACTCCTGATGTCAGCGAGACCACAAACCCACTGGGAGGAATGAACAACTCCAGATGCACCACCTTTAAGAGCTGTAACACTCACAGCAAAGGTCTGCGGCTTCACTCCTGAAATCAGCAAGACCACGAACCCACCAGAAGGAAGAAACTTGGGATACATTTGAACATCTGAAGGAACAAACTCCGGACACACCATCTTTAAGAACTGTAACACTCACCACGAGGGTTCATGGCTTCATTTTTGAAGTCAGCGAGACCAAGAACCCACCGGAAGGAACCAATTCTGGACAGAATCTCATTCTTTTTATGGCTGCATAGTATTCCATGGTGTATATGTACCACGTTTCCTTTAACCAGTCCACTGTTGATGGGCATCTAGGTTGATTCAATGTCTTTGCTATTGTGAACAGTGCTGCAGTGAACATATGTGTGCATGTGTCTTTATGGTAGAATGGTTTATATCCCTTTAGGTATATACACAGTAATGGGATTGCTGAATCAAATGGTAATTTTCTTTTTAGTTCTTTGCACCCCACTGCTTTCCACAATGGCTGAACTAATTTACATTTCTATTAGCAGTGTATAAGCATTCTCTTTCCTTGCAACCTCACCAGCATCTGTTATTTTTTGACTTTTTAATAGTAGCCATTCACACTGGTATGAGATGGTATCTTATTGTGATTTTGACTTGCATATCTCTAATAATTAGTGCTGTTGAGAATTTTTTCCTATGTTTGTTGGCTGCATGTATGTCTTCTTTTGAAAAGTGTCTGTTCATGTCTGTTCATGCCCATATTTTAATGAGGTTGTTTGGTTTTTTTCTTGTAAATTTGTTTAAGTTCCTTATAGATTCTGGATATTAGACCTTTGTCAGATGCATAGTTTGCAAATATTTTCTGTTGCAGGTGAGCAATAACTATCTGGGCCAGTGGCGCCAGGGTAAAAGAATTTACCAAGACAGTTGTAGGTAGAAAAAAAAAGCAGATTTATTAGAGAAAGTAGGAAAATATGTTGCAAGGAGGCAACAGGCAGGCAGGCCAGCAGAAGAGAAGCTGACTGCACGGAAACAAAGGCTTGCAGGAGATTTTATAGGATGGTTCTTAGGCTGCAGAGTGCTATGTGCAGTAGCAACAATGCCAGGGTTGCAGTGAGCTAGTTTATAGATGTCTGATGATAGTTGGGCACGGGAAGACTGTGAGTTATTTGCACAGGAGGGCTGTGTGTTCTGGACCATGAGGAAAGACAGACTTACAGCTTATTTGTTTTACCTCTTTGCTTTCTTCTGGTCCCACCAGCCTGACTCCTTTTCCCGAATTAGGACTTGACATTTTCTCCATTCTCTAGGTTTTCTATTTACTCTGTCGATAGTTTCTTTTACTGCACAGAAGCTCTTAAGTTAAATTAGGTCCCATTTGTCAATTTTTGTTTTTGTTGTGATTGCTTTTGGTGTCTTTGCCATGAAATCTTTGCCAAGTCCTATGTTCAGAATGGTATATTCTAGGTTACTTTCCAGGGTTTTTATGATTTTAGGTTTTACATTTAAGTCATTAATTCATTTTAAGTTGATTTTTGTATATGGTGTAAGGTAGCAGTCCAGCTTCAGTCTTCTGCATATGGCTAGCCAGTTAGTACAGCACCGTTTATTGAATGAGGAGTCCTTTCCTCATTGCTTGTTTTTGTCATCTTTGTCAAAGATCAGATGGTTGGAGTTGTACAGCATTATTTCTGGACTCTCTATTCTGTTCCATTTGTCTGTGTGTCTGCTTTTGTACCAGTACCATGCTGTTTTGGTTACTGTGGCCTCATAGTATAGTTTGAAGTTGAGCAACATAGTAACTCTTACTTTATTCTTTTGCTTAGGATTGCCTTAGCTATTTAGGCTCTGTTTTGCTTCCATATGAATTTTAAAATAGTTTGTTCTAGTTCTGTGAAGACTGTCAGTGGTAGTTTAATGGGAATAGCATTGAATCTATAAATTACTTTGGGCAGTATGGCCATTTTAATGATATTGAGTCTTCCTATCCATGAGAATGATAATTTTTTCCATTTGTTTGTGTCATCTCTGATTTCTCTGAGCAGTGTTTTGTAGTTCTTCTTGTAGAGATCTTTCATCTCCATAGTTAGCTGTATTCTTAGGTAATATGTGTGTGTGTGGAAATTGTGAGTGGGATTATGTTCTTGATATGGGTCTCAGCTTGAGTGTTCTTTGTGTATAGGAATGCTGCTGATTTTTATATGTTGATTTTTTTTATCCTGAAACTTTGCTGAAGTTGTTTATCAGCTAAAGGAACTTTTGGGCCAAGATTTGGAGATTTAGGGTTTTCTAGACACAGGATCATATCATCTGCAAACAGGGATAGTTTGACTTCCACTCTTCCTCTTTGAATGCCCTTTATTTCTTTCTCTGGCCTGATGTTCTGGTCAGGACTTCCAATACTATCTTGAATAAGAATGGTGAGGGAGGGCCGGGCACAGTGGCTTACACCTGTAATCCCAGTGCTTTAGGAGGCTGAGGTGGGTGGATCACGAGGTGAGGATATCAACACCATCCTGGCTAACATGATGAAACCTGGTCTCTACTAAAAAAAAAAAAAAATGCCAGGCGTGGTGGCATGTGCCTGTAGTCCCAGCTACTTGGGAGGCTGAGGCAGGAGAATTGCTTCAACCTGGGAAGCGGAGATTGCAGTGAGCTGAGATCGCGCCACTGCACTACTCCAGCCTGGCAACAGAGCAAGACTCTGTCTCCAAAAAAAAAAAAAAAAACAGTGGTGAGAGAGGGCATCCTTGTCTCCTGCTGATTTTCAAGAGTGATGCTTCCAGCTTTTGCCCATTCACTATGTTGTTGGCTGTGGGTTTGTCATTGATGGCTCTTATTATTTTGAAGTATGTTCCTCCAATGCCTAGTTTACTGAGGTTTTTTTTTTTTTTTAAGATGGAGTCTTTCTCTGTTGTCAGGCTGGAGTGCAGTGGCGGGATCTTGGCTCACTGCAACCTCCGCCTTCTGGGTTCAAGCGATTCTCCTGCTTCAGCCTCCTGAGTAGCTGCGACTACAGGCGCATGCCACCATGCCCAGCTAAGTTTTCATTTTTAGTAGAGACAAGGTTTCACCATGTTGGCCAGGATGGTCTCAATCTCCTGACCTTGTGATCTGCCCACCTCAGCCTCCCAAAGTGCTGGGATTACAGGCGTGAACTGAGCATTTTTAACATGAAGTGCTGTTGAATTTTATCAAAAGCCTTTTCCACATCTATTGAGATGATCAGGTGGTTGTTGCCTTTCATTCTGCTTTATGTGATGGATCACATTTGTTGATTTGTATATGTTGAACTAACCTTGCATCTCAGGGGTAAAATCTACTTGATCGTGGTACATTAGCTTTTGATGTGCTGCTTGATTTGGTTTGTTAGTATTTTGTTAAGGATATTTGCATCTATGTTCATCAAGAATATTGGCCTGAAATTTTCTTTTTTTGTTGTTTCTGCCCGGTTTTGGTATCAGGATGATGCTGGCCTCAGAATGAATTGGGGAGTAATCCCTTCTCCTCAATTTTTTTGGAATAATTTTAATAGGAATAGGACCAGGTCTTCTTTATCCATCTGGTAGAATTCAGCTGTGAATCCATCTGGTCCCAGGCTTTTTTTGGTTGGTAGGCTTTTTATTACTGACTCAATTTCAGAACTCATTATTGGTCTGTTTAGGAATTCAGTTTCTTCCTGGTTCAGTCTTGAGAGGGTGTATGTGTCCAGGAATTTATCCATTTCTTAAATATATATTCATTTATATTAGTCCATTATCATGCTGCTAATAAAGGCATACTTGAGATTGGGCAATTTACAAAAGAAGGAGGTTTAATGGACTCGCAGTTCCACATGGCTGGGGAGGCCTCACAATCATGGTGGAAGGTGAAAAGCACATCTCACATGGCAGCAGACAAGAGAAGAGGACTTGGGCAGGGAAACTCCCCTTCATAAAACCATCAAATCTCATGAGACTTATTCACTATCACAAGAATAGTACGGGAAAGACCTACCCCATGATTAAATTACCTCCCACCAGGTCCCTCCCACAACATGTGGGTATTATGGGACCTACAATTCAAGGTGAGATTTGGGTGGGGACAGGGCCAAACCATATCATTCCACCACCGGCCCCTCCCAAATCTCATGCCCTCATATTTCAAACCAATCATGCCTTCTCAAGAGTACCCCAAAGTCTTATTTCTACATTAACTCAAAATCCACAGTCCAAATTCTCATCTGAGACAAGGCAAGTCCCTTCTGCCTATGAGCCTGTAAAATCAAAAGCAAGCTAGTTACTTCTTAGACACAATGAGGGTACAGGCATTGAATAAATGTACCCATTCCAAATGGAAGAAACTGGCCAAAATGAAGGGACTTAAAGGCTCCATGCAACTCTGAAATCCAGCAGAGCACTTAAATCTTAAACTCCAAAAAATGACCTCCTTTGATTCCGTATCTCACATCCAGGTCACACTGATACAAGAGGTGGGTTCCCCTGGTCTTGAGCAGCTCCGCCCCTGTGGCTTTGCAGGATATAGCCTCCCTCCAAGCTGCTTTCATGGGCTGGCATTGAGTGTCTGCAGCTTTTCCAGTGCATGATGCAAGCTGTCAGTGGATCCATCACTCTGGAGTCTGGAGGATGGTGTTCCTCTTTTCAAAACTCCACTAGGCACTGCCCCATTGAGAACTCTGTGTGAGGGTGCCCACTCCACATTTCCCTTCTGCACTGCCCTAGCAGAGGTTCCACATGAGTGCCCTGCCCAGGCAGCAAACTTCTGCCTGGACATCCAGGCATTTCCATACATCCTCTGAAATCTAGGTGGAGGTTCCCAAACCTCAACTCTTGACTTCTGTGTACCTGTAGGCTCAACACCACATGGAAGCTGCCAAGGCTTGGGGCTTGCATCCTCTGAAGCCGTGGCCTGAGCTCTATGTTGGCCCCTTTTAGTCACAGCTGGAGCGGCTGAGACACAGGGCACCAAGTCCAAAGACCGCATACAGCATGGGGACACTGGGCCCAGCCCAAGAAACCACTCTTTCCTCCTAGGCCTCCAGGCCTGTGATGGGCAGGGCTGCCATCAAGACCTCTGACATGGCCAGGCATGGTGGCTCACGCCTGTAATCCCAGCACTTTGGGAGGCCGAGGTGGGTGGATCATGAGGTCAGGAGATCGAGACCATCCTGGCTAACATGGTGAAACCCCGTCTCTACTAAAAATACAAAAAATTAGCCAGGTGTGGTGGCGGATGCCTGTAGTCCCAGCTACTTGGAAGGCTGAGGCAGGAGAATGGCATGAACCCGGCAGGCAGAGCTTGCAGTGAACCGAGATCATGCCACTGCACTCCAGCCTGGGCGACAGAGCGAGACTCTGGAAAAAAAAAAAAAAAAACCTCTGATATGCCTTGGAGACATTTTCCCCATTGTCTTAATAATTAACATTCAGCTCCTCGTTACCCATGAAATTTCTGCAGCCGGCTTGAATTTATCCTCAGAAAATTGGATTTTCTTTTCTATTGCATTGTCAGGCTGCAAATTTTCCAAACATTTATGCTCTGCTTCCCTTATAAAACTGAATGGCTTTAACAGCACGCAAGTAACCTCTTGAATGCTTTGCTGCTTAGAAATATCTTCTGCCAGATACCCTAAATCATCTCTCTCAAGTTCAAAGTTCCACAAATCTCTAGGACAGGGGCAAAATGTCACCAGTCTCTTTGCTAAAGCATAATGAGTCACCTTTGCTCCAGTTCCCAACAAGTTCCTCATTTCCATCTGAGACTACCTTAGCCTGGACGTTATTGTCCACATCACCATCAGCAATTTGGGCAAAGGCATTCAACAAGTCTCTAGGAAGTTCCAAAATTTCCCACATTTTCCTATCTTCTTCTGAGCCCTCCAAACTGTTCCAACCTCTGCCTGTTACCCAGTTCCAAAGTCACTTCCACATTTTCAGGTATCTTTTCAGCAGTGCTCCACTCTCCTCTATTAGTCTGTTATGCTGCTGACAAAGATATACCTGAGACTGGGCAATTTACAAAAGAAAGAAATTTAATGGACTGACAGTTCCACATGGCTAGGGATGCCTCACAATCATGATGGAAGGTGAAAATCACATCTCACATGGTGGCAGACAAGACAAGAGAACTTGTGCAGGGAAACTCCTCTTTATAAAACTATCAGATCTCATGAGACTTATTCACTATGATGAGAATAGCATGGGAAAGACCCGCCCCCATGATTCAATTACCTCCCACCAGGTGCCTCCCGTGGCATGTGAGAATTGGGGGAGCTACAATTCAAGGTGAGATTTGAATGGGAACACAGCCAAACCAGATCAGCACCCAACACAGGAACACCCAGATTCATAAAGCAAGTTCTTAGGGACCTTCAAAGAGACTTAGACTCCAACACAATAATACTTGGAGATGTTAACAACTCACTGATAATATTAGACAGATCATCGAGACAAAAAATTAACAAAGATATTCAGGACTTGAACTCAGCACTGAATCAAATGGACCTGATAGACATCTATAGAATTATCCACACCAAAACAACAGTATACACATTCTTCTCATCACCACATGGCATGTACTCTAAAATTGATCACATAATCGGAAGTCAAATACTCCTCAGCAAATGCAAAAGAACTGAAATCATAAAAAACAATCTTTCAGACAACAGTGCAATCAAATTAGAAATTAAGACTAAGAAATTCATTCAAAACCCTACAATTACATGGAAGTTGAACCGCCTGCTCCTGAATGACTTTTGTGTAAATAATGAAATTAAGGAAGAAATTGAGAAGTTCTTTAAAACTGATGAGAACAACGATACAACATACCAGAATCTCTGGGACACAGCTAAGGCAGTGTTAAGTGGGAAATTTATGCATCAAATACCCACATGAAAAAGTTAGAAAGACCTCAATTTAACAACCTAACATCACAACTAAAAGAACTGGTCAACCAGGTACAAACCAATATCAAGGCTAGCAGAAGACAAGAAATAACCAAAATCAGAGCTGAACTAAAGGAGATTGAGACAGAAAAAAAAACAACACTCAAAAGATCAATGAGTCCAGGAATTGGTTTCCTAAAAAAAAATTAATAAAAAAAAAGACCTCTAGTTAGACTAATAAAGAAGAAAAGAGAGAAGATTCAAATAATCACGCTCAGAAATTACAATTGGGATATTACCACTGACCCCACAGAAACACAAATAACCATCAGAGAATATTAAAAACACCTCTATGCACATAAACTAGGAAAACTAGAAGAAATTGATAAATTTCTGGACACGTACACCCTCCCAAGACAGAACCAGGAAGAAATTCAATCCCTGAACAGACTGATAATGATCTCAGAAATTAAATCAGTAATAAGTAGACTACCAAACAAAAAAAACCCCTAGGACTAGAATAATTCACAGCTGAATTCTGCCTGATGTACAAAGAAGAGCTGGTACCATTCCTGTTATAATTATTCCAAAAAATTGAGGAAGAGGGATACCTCTCTAACTCATTCTATGAGGCCAGCATCATCAGGATCAGCACCAAAACCTGGCAGACACACACACAAAAGAAAACTTCAGGCAAATATTATTGATGAAGATTGATGCAAAAATCCTCCACGAAATACTGGCAAACTGAATCCAGCAGTACATTAAAAAGCTAATCTACAATGATCAAGTATGCTTTATCTTGGTGATGCAAGGTTAGTTCAACATATGCAAATCAATAAATTTGATTCATTACATAAGCAGTACTAAAGACAGAAGCCACATGATTAGCTCAATAGATGCAGGAATGGTTTTTGATAAAATTCAATATCCCTTCATGTTAAAAACTCTTAATAAACTGAGTAGTAAGTGAACATAACTTAAAATAATAAGAGCCTTCTGTGACAACCCCACAGCTAATACCATACTAAATGGGAAAAAGCTAGAAGCATTCCCCTTGAAAACCAGCGCAAGACAAGGATACCCTCTCTCACTACTCCTATCCAACATAGTATTGGAAGTCTTGGCCAGGGCAACAAGCAAGAAAAAGAATTAAAGGCATCCAAACAGGAAGAGAGGAAATTGAACTATGCCTATTTGCAGATGGCATGATCCTATATCAAGAAAACCCCATAGTCTCAGCCCAAAAGCTCTTTAAGCTAATGAACAACTTCAGCAAAGTCTTGGCATTCAAAATTAATGTGGAAAAATTACTAACATTCCTATACACCACAACAGTCAAGCTGAGAGCCAAATCAGGAACGTAATCCCATTCACGATTGCCACACACACACGAAATACCTAGGAATACAGCTAACTAGGGAGGAGAAAGATCTCTACAAGGAAAACTACAAACCACTGCTCAAAGAACTCAGAGATGACACAAATAAATGGAAAAAAATATCATGTTCATGGAAAAGGAAGAATCAATATTGTCTGGGCGCGGTGGCTCACATCTGTAATCCTAGCACTTCCGGAGGCCAAGGCAGGCAAATCACCTGAGGTCAGGAATTTGAGACCAACCTGGCCAACATGGTGAAACCCCATCTCTAGTAAAAATACAAAAAAATTATCCAGGCGTGATGGTGTGCACCTGTAATCCCAGCTACTAGGGAGGCTGAGGCAGGAGAATCACCTGAACCCAGGAGGCAGAGGTTTCAGTGAGCCGAAATCACGCCATTGCACTCCAGCCTGGGCGACAGAGCCAGACTCTATCGCAAAAAAAAAAAAAAAAAAAAAAAAAAAAAGGAAAAATCAATATGATGAAAATGGCCATACTCCCACAAAGCAATTAGAGAATAGTTTATCGGTTTCTTTCTTTCTCTTTCTTTCTTTCTTTCCTTCCTTCTTTCTTTTTCTTTCTTCCTTCCTTCCTTCTTTCCTTCCTTCCTTTTTCTTTTTCTTTCTTTCCTTTCCTTCTTTCTTTCCTTTCCTTCTCTCTCTTTCTTTCTTCTTTCTTTTTTCTTTCTCTTTCTCTCTTCCTTTTCTTTCTCCTTCCTTCCTTCTTTCCTTCCTTTCACCCTCCCTCCCTTCCTCCCTTCCCTCCCTCCTTCCCTTCTTCCTTCCTTCTTTTCCTTTCTCTTTCTCTCTTCCTTTTCTTTCTCCTTCCTTCCTTCTTTCCTTCCTTTCACCCTCCCTCCCTTCCTCCCTTCCCTCCCTCCTTCCCTTCTTCCTTCCTTCTTTTTCTTTCTCTTTCTCCTCCCTCCCTTCCTTCCTTTCTTCCATCTTTCCTTTCTTCCTTCCTCCCTCCCTCCCTTCTTTTTTCTCCTTCCTTCCTTCCTTCCTTCCTTGCTTCTTCCCTCCCTTCCTTCCTTTTGGAGACAGGATCTTGCTCTGTCAGATAGGCTGAAGTGCAGTGGCTCACTGCAGCCTCAAATTCCTGGGCTCAAGCAATCCTCCCACCTCAGCCTCCCAAGTAGCTGTGACTATAGGGGCATGCCACCTCATCCACCTGACAAAAAACAAAAAACAAAAACAAAACAAAACATTTGGCCGGGCACGGTGGCTCATGCCTGTAATCTCAGCACTTTGGGAGGCCAAGGCAAGCGGATCACGAGGTCATGAGGTCAAGACCATCCTGGCCAACATGGTGAAACCCTGTCTCTACTAAAAATACAAAAATTAATTGGGCGTGGTGGTGTGCACCTGTAGTCTCAGCTACTCGAGAGGCTGAGGCAGAAGAATTGCTTGAACCTGGGAGGCGGAGGTTGCAGTGAGCCGAGATCGCATGACGGCACTCCAGTCTGGCAACAGAGCGAGACTCTGTCTCAAAAAAAAAAAAAAAAGTGTAGACGCTGGGGCTGGCCTCAAATTCCTGGCCTCAATTTATCCTTCCTCCTTGGCCTCCCAAAGTGCTGGGATTACAGGTATAAGCCATCATCATCATACTTGGCTAAGTTTGGCAGTTTCTTGAAAAACTAAACATATATTTCCATATGCCCATGAATTATATCCCAGACATTTATACCAGAGAAATGAAAACTCATGAACTCATGCTCATAGAAAAACCTTAAACACATGTTCAAAACAGCCTTATTTATAGTGACCCCAAACTAGAAACAGCCAAAATGTCCTTCAATAGGCAAATAGTTAAGCAAACTGTGCTGCATTTAGACCATGGAATACTACTTAGCAATAAAAAAAAAAAAAAGATTGTTGATATATGCAGCAGCTTGGATGGATCTCATGGGTATTATGCTAAGTGAAAAACACCAGTCACATACTGCATGATTCCATTTAACTAGTATTTTCAAAATGACACTATTCTAGAGATTAATAGCAAAGAAATTAGTGGTTTTAAGTTGTTAAGGTGATTGTGTGGGGGGAATTTGGCTATAAAGGGAAGCATGATGAAGATCTCTGTGATATGGAATAGCTCTGTGCTTGATTGTGGTGGTGGTTACATGAATCTACAAATGTGATAAGACATATGCATAAAACTATACATACACATTGTATCAAGGTATTTTCTTGGTTTTGCTACTGTGCTATAATTACTTAAAATATAAACATTTGGAGAAACTGGGTGAAGGCGTATGCAGAATGTCTCTATACTGTCTTTGCAATTTCCCCTGAATCTATAATTATTTTAAAATAAAAAAATATTAAAATGGCTTTCTTGCTTAAATCCCAAACCCCAGAATACCAAATGCTGGCAAGGATATAGAAAAACAGGGACTCTCATTCATTGCTGGTAGGAATGCAAAATGATACAGCCATTTTGGAAGATATTCTAGTTGTTTCTAACAAAGTTAAACATACTCTTACCATATGATCCAGCAATTGCACTTCTATGTATTTATCCAAAGTGGAAAACTTGTGTTTGCACAAACATCTGTTCATGGATGTTTATAGCAGCTTTATTCATAATTGCCAAAAATTAGAAGCAACCAAGATGTCCTTCAATAGATTAATGGGTAAATAAACCATAGTACATTTATACAATGGAGTATTATTTAACATTAAAGAAAAATAAGCTATCAAGCTATGACAATATACGCAGGAAACCTGTATGCATATGGCTAAGCAAAAGAATCTCATCTGAAAAAGCTCTATGCTGTATGATTACAAGTATGTGACATTCTGAAAAAGGCAAAACACTAGTAAATAGCTCAGAGAATGCCAATGGCTCAGAGGGAGGAAGGAAGGATGAGTAGATGGAGCCTGGGTCATTTTTAGATCAGTGAAGCTATTTTGTTTAATCCTGTAATGGTGGATATATGATATTATGTATTTGTCAGAACCCATATAACTGTGTAATACAGAGTGAACCCTCGTATAACTATGAATTTTAGTTAATAATAATTATTAGTATTGGTTCATCAATTGTAACAAGTGTACCACATTAATACAGGATGTTAAGCATTGTAGAAACTGGGGGTGGGGGAGCTCTGTATACAATTTCTGCAATTTTTCTGTTAGCTTAAAACAGCTCTAAAAATAAAAGTCTATTAAAATGGTTTTCCTTTTTTTTTTTTTTTTTTTTTTTTTCTTTTTTTTGAGATGGAGTCTCGCTCTGTCGCCCAGGCTGGAGTGCAGTGGTGTGATCTCGGCTTACTGCAAGCTCTGCCTCTTGGGTTCACGCCATTTTCCTGCCTCAACTTCTCGAGTAGCTGGGACTACAGGCACCCGCCACCACACCCGGCTAATTTTTTGTTTTTTTTTTTTTTTAGTAGAGACGGGGTTTCACCATGTTAGCCAGGATGGTCTCGATCTCCTGACCTCGTGATCCGCCCGCCTCGGCCTCCCAAAGTGCTGGGATTACAGGCGTGAGCCACCGCACCTGGCCAAAAATGGTTTTCTTACATGGTAGTATATGGGTTTACTTTTTGCTTTCTTAATCCATGCTTGTCTAAGTTTTAGTGTATTCTCTGTGTTAAGCTATTTATTTTATAATAAAGTTTGTAGTCATGTAAGAAAGACACTCGTACCTATTCTACCATCAGTAGTCTCAAGATTCTGCTTTGATTCTCTGAACCAACAGTAGAGAAACTTTTTTTTTTTTTTTTTTTTTGAGACGGAGTCTCAGTCTGTTGCCAGGCAGGAGCGCAGTGGTGCGATCTCGGCTCACTGCAACCTCTGCCTCCCGGATTCAAGAGATTCTCCTGCCTCAACCTCCAGAGTAGCTGGGATTACAGGCGCCTATCACCACGCCTGGCTAATTTTTGTATTTTTAGTAGAGATGGGGTTTCACCATGTTGGCCAGGATGGTCTTGATTTCCTGACCTTGTGATCCGCCCACCTCGGCCTCCCAAAGTGCTGGATTACAGGCGTGAGCCACCGTGCCCAGCCGAGAAACTTCTTATTTATTAGTAAGGCTTAGAATGTCATGATGCTTTGGTTTATCCTTGTTTTGTTTAGCTTCTCTTAGATTTTTATCATCAGTCTATAGAAATTTTGAGAAAAACAACAGAATGTATAATTTTTTGCAATATTTTATTATCACTAAGCATGTATCTAATTACTTTGCTTGCGTTTTCCTTTTAATTCTGATATTAATTCAATGTAGTAAAAATTAACACCAGTATTTTCATGAGTAATGTGAGGCTAAGTTAAGTAAGATACCAGTGAAAACATAGCTAGTAAATGATACAGCCAAGATGAAACCCAAGCCTAACTCATTTCAACAGCATTTATTTGCAGTCTACCACACTATCATGAATAGTTTATCTTAGTGGTTTATGGCAGGTTCTAGAAACTATTTTAGAGATAAATATCAAGTCATAGTTTTATAGACAAATGAGCAACAGTTCATTGTGTTTCAAATATTCCTTCCTCTCATCTTAATGTCATATCTTTCTCCCCAACCCCAAATTTCACTCAGCTTTTCCACTCAAAGACACATCTTCAAATATAAGGTGGTTTCAAGAATCAGTCAGACTACTCTCTCGGTAATAAAATAGGCATCTGAGACTATGTCTAACAGAATGGGTAAGGCCAGTCTTCAGTGTCCAACCTCTTTGCTCATTAAATCTGGAATGAACGATGTTGATATGTAAATCCTGCAATGTTTATGGATTCTTCTGTCTTCCTTCTCCCCACTCTAACCCCATCTGCTCCCCTCTATCCCATGCATTCTGAGATCCATACCTTGGGGTTTCAGATTCACTCTACTGAAGACAGAGTTATATCATTGCTCAGTAGAGATCTCCCAACAAACCAACCCCACTTTAGGTTTTCCTGATGAGGACTAGACCACAACAAGAGGGTTGCCTGCAGATGCACAAAATGAGACCAAGCCCAAATGAACCGGGATATGTCTGATGAATTCTAGAATTTATAAGATAAATTCAACATTCAGATATTTTACCGGGAAAGGATCACATATATTCCCCAGGACCGACTCCCCACCCCCCACCGCCACCCAAAGAACTGGCTTAAACACCAAAAATTCCACCCAAGATCATCAAAATAGTTTATTGTGTTCAGAAAAATCACAGTTTGAGGAAACCTTAAACAATAAGTACACAAGAGATGCCCCATGGGGCATTCCATAGCAGAGACAGACTCCTGTATGTTTTATTCCAGAGGCATTGCATGGTGATAATAAAATGATAGGAAATAGAGGAAAATAGATACAGGAAAAGGCAATAGACAGGGAAGCCAGCTAGATGTTAGAGTACGGAGCAATCGAGGAGGCATAACCACACTTGGGGTGGCTATAGGGCTGGAAAACGCTGAAGATGACTGCTTTCACTGAGGTCAAGGATTGTAATATTGCCAGCTTTGTAAAGTCATTAAAGCAGAAGTTTCTTCAGTGATCTTCTCTCTAAGAAACACCATCACCTATAGCAAGACACACATAGTTACCAAGGAATTTAAGATCCGTTTTGAGCTCCTTGCTTCAGATTCCTTCCTCTTCTCTCTTAATCCTTTGACTTTGCAAAATTCTTTCAATGTTCATCTAACCTTTCCAACATGAACTAACTGTATACAGTTAGTTCCTACTCTCCAACTGAACATAATAAGCAACCATGCTTTACCTTTTTTTAGAGTTTCTCATACTACATTTGAGACTAAAGAAGCAAAAGCAGGCATTGGCCTCTAAGAGATTCCCATTTCATGCAATGAATTGACCCTAACCTGAAAGGAGCCAGGATCTGGAAATGCTTCTGAACTGATGACCTGCCCCAGGAAATACAAGCTAGGATGTGCCCAAATCTTGAGGCTTATTTTTCTAGATCCCTAGACTCAGTATTTTCTAGATCCCTAGACTCCATATTCTAATGTATTTTCTAGATCCCTAGACTCAGTATTCTAATGTGAAACAATGGTTTTAGGTACTGGAGATGATTTCTAAGACTGGAGCCGTGATCAAGGTGCCCGTCTATAGAAAGGGATGACAGACCCTGAAGCTTTGGGATACCAGATGATACCAATGTCTGATTCATTCTAGCAAAGAGAAATCAAGAGCCACATCTGTTCCTACCTTGTCTCTTAAATGCATTACATTTCCTTTCCCCACCCTGTTTTCCTCCCTCAGATATCTCCATATATGTCTTCCTCTGACCACACCTAACTCACCTCCATGTGCCTTACAGAGGCCCCCTGCGTTCTGCTGCATTGCTTTTGCGCACTCCCTTGATGATGAAGATGGTCCCAATAATGATGCCCACCAGACCCACAGTCAGGCCCAGGGCACACACCACGTTCTCTGTAGTCTCTGGGAGAGGGCTTGGAGCATCAAACTCTGGGGGGAGATAAGGCAGAGTACATGGTAATGAGTGTGGGAAGAAGTAACACTCAGAATCAAATGTAGGGTTCTTAATAAAGAGAAAAGTTATTCATAGATTAAAGAAGAGGAAGACAGAATGATGTATTGAGAGAATTACAGATTAAAAAAAGGAGGAAGCTGGATAGTAGGAGAAGACAGTTATATTAATTGTAGCAGATATTATGAAACAGTTAGAACACCGAGTTTCACACAAGCATCATAGGAGGAAACCTTGAAATAAAGGAGATTGAGTGTTGGTCCATACCCCAGTGCTTGAGAAGAGGCTCATCCAAGCCCCAGTGCTCCACCCTGCAGTCGTAAACGTCCTCAGTTGAGGGCAGGAAGGGGAGATAGTGGAACTTGCGGAAAAGGTGGTCTTCCCTGGGCAGGAAGACTGTCTCTGACACTCCTGTGGTGACAGGTTTTCCATTTCGAAGCCACGTGACATTGACCACTGGTGGGGTGAACTTGTCGATGAAACAGATGAGGACGTTGGGCTCTCTCAGTTCCACAGGGCTGTTCGTGAGCACAGTTACCTCTGGAGGTACTGGGGGACACATGACAGACGTGACAGAAATCAGCCATCACTGCTTAGGCTCACCCCTCTCCCTCCCATGCTCAATTGTGGTACAAACGTATCTAAAAACCCTAAAGCTGAAAAAGTAGTTGAAATTGTGCCCTGAGAAATCTATGTCACATCCTCAGATAACAATCTCTGACAGCACCCCCTCCCCAAGAAATTGAGCCAATATTGAGGTATAAGATATCCAAGGACTTCCCTTCTGGCTCCCCTAGCATGAACTTAGGGCAATGACTTCGTAGGAGACCATGGATGACAGAGACAAGACTTGAGCACAACAAGATAGGATCAAACCCATAAAGTTCTCAGACCTCTGGCATGAGAATTTGGGGCTTGTTAATGGCAAGGTTAGGCCCTTGGAGGGAAAATCAGTTACAATAATCTAACACAAAGAGCTGAAGCAACTACTTTCAAACTATGGATTCCCATGTCCAGGAGTGCAGCAGAGAGGGAGGTACCATTGGTGATCGGAGTATAGTTGGAGCGCTTTGTCATGATTTCCAGGTTGGCTTTGTCCACAGCTATGTTGGCCAATGCACCTTGAGCCTCAAAGCTGGCAAATCGTCCAAATTCTTCAAGCCGCCAGACCGTCTCCTTCTTTGCCATATCCACATGGAAAATCTCATCACCATCAAAGTCAAACATAAACTCGCCTGATTGGTCAGGATTCAGATAGAACTCGGCCTGGATGATCACATGTTCTTCTGAAAGGCAAGAAATGGAGAAAGAGAGTTGGGTGGGGGGAATCAAGAGAGGGAAATGAATAACCTACATACATGTAGGCAGGAAGTGGTGGAGAGAGATTGGGCCAAGAGGAATGAAAGAATGATGGCGAGTAGGGGTGAGTGACAAGACAAGGTCTGGGTGAAGGGCATGCTGCTGAACAAAGCTGGGAGGGGAAAAACAAGAAGGACTGGTTATAAAGAGGGTGGGTTGAAGGAGATGAGGGCTAAAGAACCCAGAGTCTTGTGAAGCTGTTGTTTGGCTCCATGTTACTAGCTGAGAAATTATTTTCTTTTTAGAAATCCAGCAGCAGCCCCTAAAGAGAAATGTTCTCTCACTTTCTTTACCCGGGCATTAAATACACTTAGGCCAGAATTCCAGAGGATCTCTTTCTCAGAACATTGTACTCTAAGAAGAAGGAAACACTGTTTGAAAGGTTGGGTTTTAAACTCTGGGATCAAAAACATCTTGAATTCTTATTCAGCAACTTACCTAGTGATCCTGAGCAGATTATTCTACCTATTTATGTATAGTTTTCCTATTATGTAGCCCTGCTGTGGTTTTGATCCTGTCAGGGGTTTGTTTTTAAGATTAAATGAGATAAGGTGAGTAATTTCTTAATATATCAACAAGACTGTAACAAGCACTGTTTACATTTTAGAGTCAGAAGCTTCTTTTTATTTAAGGGCCAAATCTATGGAAAATATACCTGGGGACTGAAGTACTCCAAAAATTAAGACTGAGACCTTGTAGCGTCATAGTCCCCCTGCTTCCCAGCATCCAAACCCACACGGTGGTTACCTCTATGAGAAGGTTCTCGTCTGGATTGACCTTGGCAATTCCACCTTTTATCTTAATGCTCCTTAAATTGGGACTGTTATTATGGAAGATGTTCTGTTACGATTGACATTGAGAATAACCAACACCAAGGGAATAATGAACATGAAAAGAGAAAGCTACACTGGGAGAGTATGCTGCCTCTGTGGAGTGTATCGATGAGTGGGAGATTTTTTTTTTCCTTAGTCTTCAAAGATAAGGTGAGATATTTTGTTTTGTTTTGGTTTGGTTGTTTGAGACGGAGTCTTGCTCTATCGCCAGGCTGGAGTGCAGTGGCACCATCTCAGCTCACTGCAACCTCCGCCTCCCGGGCTCAAGCAATCCTCCTGCCTCAGCCTCCCGAGTAGCTGGGACTACAGGCGTGTGCCACCATACCCAGCTAATTTTTTGTATTTTTAGTAGAGACGGGGTTTCACCATGTTGCCCAGGACGGTCTCGATCTCTTGACCTCGTGATCCGCCCGCCTCGGCCTCCCAAAGTGCTGGGATTACAGGCGTGAGCCACCGTGCCCAGCCAAGATGAGAGATTTTAATGTTTGACTGTGTATTGATAAACCTAGGAATTTATTTACCGTTTGCATCTATGCAAACACACACAAATATACTAGCTGCCTCTTCACAAACCAAGGGAAGATCCTCTGTCTTTCTAGGTAAGTATCCCTATGTATGGCTCTTTTGGGGCAATAGAAATCTACAATTGCCACTATGGGTATGGGAGCTGGGTTATTACTTTGCTTATTTCAAGTCTACCTGACACCTTCTGTGGGGGTCACGCTGGGTGAAGAATACTTTTCTACAGTACATCTTTACAACAGCACCAATGTTGCTCTGGAGATGAGAGAGAATAATATCAGATTCCCCATTTCCTTACTTATTTTTCTACTCTCTTGGAAATATTACTAAGTTAACATGATATAAGATCTGCTGTACCATGGAGATGGGAAGGCAGGGAATGGCTATCACTGTCCCATGAGGCAACTCATATCAGCATGCCTTCCCTCCCCTTTTCCTGGGGTAAATTGTTGCTTTTTGATGACTTTTCCTTCTAGTAATCTTCAACACAATATATGTGCTCAATATATACCGACAGGATTTACACTCCAAAAAATAACTACTGTATCATGTATTCAGATAAGAACAGGGCTAATAACTTTTTTTTTTCATTTAATTCTAGCAAAACTATGTGTGGTTTTTAGTTTTTAATTTTACTAATTTTCCAGAAAGAATAATTAAAGCCCAGAAATATAACTTGTTAATGCTTGCCAGAAAATATTCTTCCTCCCCCACCCCCACCCCCACCCCCAGTTTGGCTTGTAGCAGGACCGTGCTATTCATCAATACACAACTCAGTTTTGACCCTCTAAACCAAATTTGACTTACTTCAGTTTGTGGTGAGGGAAGAACTCCACCAAACCACAATTTGTTATACTTTCTGTCGAGACCACATAATACCTGTCACACTATTCTTTCACTCCACACATTATCTTCCAAATGTCCATAGGTCTTTTCTCCAATGCTTCGTAGTCTATCGTCCCAGATTTCATTCCCTCAGCACCTACCTTTGATAGCCCATGATTCCTGAGCGCTCATCAGCACAGCTATGATGAAAAATCCTAGCACAGGGACTCCACTTATGGCCATTTTCTTCTTGGGCGCTCTGTTGGGAGTCAGTAGAGCTCGGGAGTGAGGCAGAACAGACAAGAATAAAAGAAAAGAGAATGTGGGGTGTAATAGAGTCTGACCATTAAAATGCAAATCAATTACTCTTTGGCCAATCAGAAAAATATTTTGAGATGACGCATCTGTTGCTAGGGGAAGGGTTCTTGCAAAGGGTCCAGGACACAAGATACTCCGTTCATTGGATAAAGAAGTAAAGTTCTTAAACAAACAGGACAACAACAACAACAAATCAAGTATTTAAGACTGTTAGTCAATCACGGACAGACTCTTTAACCCCAATCTGACTTCTAGACAGGGATATACCTGAAGCACATTAGTGAGAATAGAATCAATGGAAACACCTAAAGTGAGAGCTAAATACAGATCATATGTCTGTGCAATGACAGTTGGAGAGTTTGCGTAAGGGACAATAAATTACCCAAATAGAAGGTAAATTGTCAGGCCATGGAGATTGTCTGAATTTTGGCAGTACTGAGGACATAGCTTCACTAAAGAAGCTCTTTCATGCTTCTTGGAGTCCTAGACTTCAAGATGATCAACTCAGGCCAAGAGCTTGGGATGGCTGGCATTGTATCTCATTTAGAGAAAATGAGAGGAGAAACTCTGAGGTTCAACACTCTCAACACTGGAGAAGGATGAAAGGCTGTATCTTGAAACACAGGTAGTAGTTAGTGGAAATAGTGGGCTGTAAAGGAGCTACCTTCTTCTCATCTCTACCATCTTATATATGACAAGAGATTGGAGTTGACTAATGGACACACCTCATTTGAGGATTCAGGTCAATGAATATGAGAGAGTATAGTGGGCAAAGCCTATTCTTTTTTTTTTTTTTTTTTTTTTAGACAGAGTCTTGCTCTGTCGCCCAAGCTGGAGTTGGTGGCGTGATCTCAGCTCATTGTAATCTCCGCCTCCCGGGTTCAAGCGATTCTCCTGCCTCAGCCTCCTGAGTAGCTGGGATTACAGGCGCCCACCACCATGCCCGGCTAATTTTTGTATTTTTAGTAGAGACGGGGTTTCACCATGTTGGTCAGGCTGGTCTCAGACTCCTGACCTCGTGATTTGCCCGCCTTGGCCTCGCAAAGTGCTGGGATTACAGGCATGAGCCACCGCACCCAGCTGGCAAAGCCTATTCTATTGGGAACGTTAGAGATAATAACCCACAGAACGGCTTTAATATTCCTTCCCTCATGTCATAAGATTATGAAAGTTTTTCTCTTGTCATATGATTATTAAAGATCTGCTCTAAAGAATATATTTTGATGTTCAACATAGACAGTCCTGAAAATTAGGAGACTTCGACTCTCTTGTTTCTGAAGATACAGTGTTATGAAAAGGAGAATGTTAATTTCTTTCCACAGAAAGGACTGGAATACAAATACTTCCATGAAGAGTGACCTGGCAGTGAGGGAGCCCATCGGATGGTGAATCCATTGTTTTTTTTGTTGTTGTTTTGTTTTCGAGACGGAAGTCTTGCTCTGTCGCCCAGGCTGGAGTGCAGTGGCACGATCTCGGCTCACTGAAAGCTCTGCCTCCTGGGTTCACGCCATTCTCCTGCCTCAGCCTCCCGAGTAGCTAGGACTACAGGCGCCCGCCACCATGCCCGGCCAATTTTTTTTTTTTTTTTTTTTTTTTTTTGTATTTTCAGTAGAGACGGGGTTGCACCATGTTAACCAGGATGGTTTTGATCTCCTGACCTCGTGATCTGCCTGCTTCTGCCTCCCAAAGTGCTGGGATTACAGGCATGAGCCACCGTGCCTGGCTGGTGAGTCCATTGTTCAACATCAGTCATGACATGTCTGCTTAGGGTGGATTTTCCATACTGTTGTGCTGGGGTCTTGTCCTGCCATGCAGCCGTTCTCACAAGTTATGAACACAAATATTCCATACATTACTGATTATCTGATCGCATCAAAGGGCTTTGAACACACTGTGGCATTAACTCCTAGATCGCTAGAAAGAGACCTACAGCATGGTCTCTCCTGCAATTTTTCAGGAATACCTTTCCTGAAAGTTAAAGAGTCAGGAGAATGGGCCAGATGAGAGCCTATGGTATCAGTCTGTGCTAAGAGTCTGATCCTATGATTTAAGCTTGTCATCTCCTCTTTTAGAGGCAAAACCATGTATAATTTTCTATGTCTGCCCTTTGCTGGCTGCCATAATGCCTTGTTCTTAAATGGTGCTTGAGAAAAACATGGTAAATTCAAAGACATTTCATATATTATAATAGCATCTTCAATCCAAGTTGTTGCTCAGCAACTTATGACACTGTTTAGTCCTAGAACACTGATTGGTTCTTCTTGTGAGATTACTAAATTTGGGACACTTGAGAAATGACTTTCAGTTCCCTTTCTCTGTGATAGGAGAGAAGTTCCTATTTGGACAGTGCTCATGGTTCTCCGTTTTCTTTCAAACTCTAATTTCCTGTGTGTTTGAGGGAATTTCCAAAGGCACCTGAATGAGGACTTCTTGGTGATGTCAAATGGTGACGAGACACTATAGCCATGAGAATTCAGTCAAGAAATAGGAATCCCTGTAATCAGTCTAAGCAGAACTGAATATATTACAGGGAATTAGCCCTTAAAACTGTTAGGGGGTCTGGAGGAGCACAAGTCACTGCAGACCCCTAATTTTAAAAGATCAGGAACCCACAGGAAGCCTCTGCTGATGTTGCAGATCCTCTAGAGCCCCTAGGAGTAAATGTCTTTAGAACACAAGGCTGCTGCCAAAACTCATGTCTGTGAAACCTGTCCCTGAGATGGCTGTGGCCTAACTTCCACCTCCCAAATCTCATAATACTGAGTTTCACTGGAGAAATGTATTCCATGTTCAGAAACCTGGGGCAGAGCAAGCCTGAGAGATGTAATATTCTTACATCTATTCCCAAAGATACAGACAGGATCAGAGAAGCAAATGGAAATTTTACAAAAATTACTAAATGCAAATATGTGTGTCTATGTTTGTGTGTATATCCACCATAGATCACTCTGGTTCTCCCCACAGTGCCAAGTCTAAAACCAGAGGACATATTCTTCTGGAGAAATAAGTTAGGGCTTTCACACTGGGCCCAGATCAAGTCTGGGACCTCAATACTTCATTTGTTTGTGTGGTTTGAATTCTGAGAACCTCCAGCCCCTTCTTTTAGCTTCCCTTCCACCACCCCCTACCCCCTTTTCCTTCTGCACTAAGGGTCTTCATGGTGTTTTTCTCCTACTAAGGACTTCCTACCAGAGGTGCTGAGGGAATATTGATCTAGGTATTTCCTTCTCAATTCACTACATAAGAAGCTTTTCTTGTGTTACTTTTTCGCATCCTGAGAGGTCACAGAAGCTGGTCTGCTGGAATAGATCCCTATCAGAATAAAAACTGTGAACTGTTGATATCAACAAATGCACTAGGACGTTAACAAATGTGCTAGGGCAGTGGGTTAATGGGCCTTCCTAGCATGTCCTGTGTTAATAGAGGCCTCCACGATGACTGGACTCATCTTTAACCTGGGAGGATGGCAGTTTGAGTTTGATTCATTCTCTCTTCACCTCTACCTGAAACCTGATGCTTTAAAGACCAGAGTTATCTTTATACAGACCTCCTGGGGTGTGAAATTACCCCTCTTTACTTGACTAGTCTTTGTAAATTAGAAAATGCATGCAGGTAGGGGTGTGTGTGTGTACGTGTGCACACTTAGAAACTTTGAATCCACATCTCAGAATATTTTCCTGCCGGCCAACTACAAGTTTCATTGCTTTAACTTGAGAACCTGTAGTCAGATTGTTCTATAATTCTCTGTGTTCTTGTCTGTTCTAAATGGCACAAGCTAAGTCTTATAATTGAGAGACTCTGAAGGAAAAGATTAGCTTGACCAATCACCAAAGAAGTCTAAGGGTAGTTGTCTCTAATAGCTGCCCCCATACAGCCAGTCCATGGCTTGATTCACTCACTCAACATCTCCTGTTCCTTAGAAATTCTGGCAATTTGTTTTCAGAGTTCCTTCCATCTCTATCATATTGGCCACTCCGAAGTCAGCACAGAGAATTAGGATATAGGACATTCTGTTGCTCTCATCTTCTCATCTTTGTTCTCATCTTCTGAAAAAACGCATGTCCTCACCTGTGAATCCTTTCTTAGCTATTCTTCCAGGAATAGGGAATGATTTTACTCAATCATCCATGTAAAACAGAGACCAGAAACTTCATTTAGACATTATGTTCTGTTGCATGAGTAAACTATGGAATCTCATCAAGGTCAGAATGATTTTATAGAATTCAGATGTGTTTGTATGCATACGTGTGTGTGTGTGTGTGTGTCTGTGTGTTGAAGGAGGAGAATTAGGAAAGTATCAATTTCAATCAATCTAATTCATATAATTTTTTAATTTACTCAATTGTTTAAATACTATTTGATCCTATTCTTTATTTAAGGTACTTTCTTTTGTTTATTTTTTTAAAACATCTGAAGCATACAAATGTAATTGCTAGGTTGGATAAGCACTAAATGGAATCTTTAATCAAACAAAAACTCATTGTGCCTGCTCTTGCCTCTTTAGAGAATTTCATTAGAGATGCTATTCCCCTGCGCTTGGGTAGGAATTATAGCATACTTCATGAATTATTTTCTTGATTCTAATTAATATGCTATTCTACAATTCCCTTAAATTGCACAAGTATATCTTAGTTCAGCAATTAGATTGTTTGGTACTATATAATAATTGAAAGTCCCAACTTGATTTAATATAAATCTCTTTCTATCCCTGTGTAAATTGTTGAAGGCAGGAATGAGTGTGGTTCTCCTTCCTTCTTACGTTCTACTGGCACTTTGAGGCCATAGCTCATCTAGGGTAGGTTCAGGGAAGGGGAGGAAGAGAAAAAGACCAGAAACGTCTTACTGGAAATGAAATATTTGTGTTCTCTGAGCCTGGATGATGTTCCAAGTAAAGCTTTTCTCTTGTGCAAGGTTTGGTAGGCTCTTCAGATTCCTTCATGGCTCGTGTCTGGTGTGTAGGGAACACTAAAACATTCTTTGTGTCCACAAACTCTGGGAGTGTGACCATTCCCAATGCATCACAGTTTCCAAGATCCAATACCAACTAGTCCATATACCCTGCCCTTTAGGATTCTGATGGAAGCAGAAGCCAATCCTATCATCTTCAACCACCCAACTTCATATCAAGTAGAGGAAACTCTTGGTCCCCCTAGAAAACAATTTCACTAAATTCCAGGCAAGTAAGTTGGTCCCTTTCCCACATACGCTGGGAGTAGATGATAGAATTCATAGTAAAGAGCAGATCTATTCAAGGATATCACAAATCTGCTTCATCCTATACTCTCTGACCACCCTTTGGTCAGTAGAGAGACAATAACAGAAACTTGTTTGTCCCATCATTCCTTATTTACTTATTTATTTTATTCTACTTTAAGTTCTGGGATACATGTGCAGAACATGCAGGTTTGTTACATAGGTATACATGTGCCGTGGTGGTTTTCTGCTCCCATCAACCCGTCATCTAGGTTTTAAGCTCCTCAAGCACTAGGTATTTGTCCTAATGCTCTCCTCCCCTTGCCCCCCACCCCCCCAACAGGCCCCTGTGTCCATGTGTTCTCATTGTTCAACTCCCACTTATGAGTGAGAAAATTCAGTGTTTGGTTTTCTGTTCCTGTGTTATTTTGCTGAGAATGATGGTTTCCAGCTTCATCCATGTCCCTGCAAAGGACATGAACTCATTCTTTTTCATGGCTGCATAGTATTCCATGGTGTATATGTGGCACATTTGCTTTATCCACTCTATCTTTGATGTGTTTTCCCCATCATTTCTTTATGAATTCTGCAAAAGAGGTGAACAACAGTGTCGCATGTCCATAAACAGATATCTGTGTTAATGGCCTCTTAGCTGATACTGAGGAAAGACCACAAACATTGAAAACAAAACAACAAACATATGAAAAAGTATAAATCATGGTCATTGTCTGTTACTGGTCACATAGACATAATTATAACACGGTTTAGGAAATGGAGGCAGAACTGGCCATTTCAGCTGTGTTTCCTAGTCCAGTTTTCTTACAAGGTAATGGAGAAGAGTGTGCATATAACATGTTTTTTGTTAGATTAAGCATCACTCTGTTAAGGAATAAACTTGAGTTACTTTCAATCACTTTTAAGGATGCTGCTCTTTTTCCCAAAGTAAAATTGATATTTGAGGCCTCAGTAAGTTCCATGTTATGTCCAATTATTTAGCATTACAGTGTCTGTCTGCTTCCAAGTGACTAAAGACTTTTACTCTTGGCCATGTGCCACATAACTGAAGATTATTCTTTCAGGTGAAAGTGGCAGGATTTCTATAAGACCCTTAAGAGGCTTTTCCTTTAGTTAGAAGGGAATTTAGGGACTGGAGTTCTGAGAACTGGCCATGTCCAGACAATAGTGCCCCCAAACGACAGTCATTTCTGCCACCTTTTCTCTGGACATATGCAGCATTGTTTGGAAATCTTTTTTCATTAAGCATGATCTGTGCTCATTTCTGAAGATCATAAGAATGTCTATGTAGCAGTCTTTTTCTACTCTTAATTCTTTTCTAAAAGGTATAATTGAGAGTAAGAAACAAAAAACTAGAAGACGGTTTATTTAAGGTACATGGTTAGCAATCATAGTAAAGGAGCTGAGTTCTAAACATGTAAAACACTTACTGTAGTGAAGTTAGGAAGACAAGGAGTGTGAAGATGAGAAGTTAGAAGTGTGGAGAAGGAATCACTAGAGCCTCCTGATAAGAAAGATGGTAGAAAATGATTTTTTAAAGTACTTAAGTAGGTAAGATTTCAAATCCAAATGTCGTGAATGAGTGAAGGAAATTTTCACAAAAAAATAGAAGTCATGAGAAGAAGGTGGCTCTTGTTCACACTAAGTATAGCATGGGTCAAGCACAGAATGTAAGAGGGGAATTAGTTCTCACAATAAAATAGAAGAGAATATAAGTGGCTAAATGGCATCTAAAAAATAAACCATTCCAAGACTTAAGCTAATACAGATGGTCTCTGACTTATAATTTGGCTTATGATTGTTCAACTTTATGATGGGTTTATTGGTGTATTAAATGCATTTTCAGCTTAAGATATTTTCAAGTTATAATGGGTTTATTGGGACATAACCCTATTGTTAAGTTGGAGAGCATCTGTACACGAGCAGTGGTCCATGCTGCAAAATGTTTTTTAAAAACCAATAGTGAGGATAGAGAATAAACTATTTTAGGTTTCTGAGATTACTTAGGAACTTTGAACCTTTAAGGTAGAAAGAAAGGTGAGAAATATGCCAGAAGACTGTTACTGCTTTCACTGAAATTCTTTTTTGGGGTCCATTTTCTTTTTACCAATTGAAAATACTACTGCTATGACTATGACACTAAAGCTTACTTATATTTATTAGATAATAGTTGTATTTCCATTTTACCTGAGAAAACTGGGTTTAAAGAAATCTAGTCTTTTGGTCAAGGGCTTACTTAGAAAGTGGCAACTGTGATTTTCTAAATCAAGTCTCTATCTCTGTAGCCAATAATATGTGGAGTCCAAGAACCAGTCCACTCAAAACACTAAAACCACTCATACCACAAACATGTCCTTGGGTAGGGATGACGGTTGGTTTTTTCTTGTATACTATGTTTATATGTGACTATTTCAAAAGTTCTCAGGACACATATTTTTCCCTTGATTTTCTAATTTATAGTATAACTGGGACTAGGTTTCCCTCTTGTGGTCAACAGTGTTTAATTCTTCATAAGTGTTTTTGACATTGAGTATTCAGACACCTTATGAAAGATCAAGGATTTCTTAAGTCAGGATGCTTCAACTAATTTTTTTCTTATGTGCATACTCAAAGTGTGTTTGATTTAATTAGGTCACTTAAATGGTTTGTAATTTTATTTATAAAATTACTTATAAAATATTTAAAACTTATAAAAATATTTAAAGTCTTTTTATAAGTATTACCATGCCTTTTTTGAATAAGCACACAAAATATAGGATGTACTTCTTTTAAATAATTTGAAGGTTGAAATAATGTCTTAAAACGGACAAAATTAACTGTATTTCATTTTGAATCTTGTGGATAAATGCTTTATAACACCCTTTCTACTTCTCCATGATGTATTTAATCTTAGGCTAATTTTCTAGCTGTTTTCTGGAAACCTGATGGAGGAAGAATGTCAGCTGGATTTTTAGACAACATTGCTTATGGCACAAATGGCTTCTGGTTGGCATTTTGTATCTTTACTGGGAAGAATATTTCATGAACCGTAACAAATGACGGGGACCCATAGTTTGGGTATTTCCAAATGCAGTGACCCTTGTAACTGAGCATGCCCTTTACAGGGACTCTGGAAGCTGTGCCCATGGGTTTGTTATAAGAGGTACTAGCTCGTAGATGACATGAGGATTCTAAGCTAGGGTGGACACAACTTCCACAGGTGTAAATTCAGCTCCTTGTACCTGAGTTGTCACTTGGGGGATGGGGGCAGAGGATGAAACTAGCACCTGGAATAAATTATGGACTGTTTCAAGAACTTCTCCCACTGAAGAAAAAGACCTGATTCAGCACTTTGGCATACTTTGACTCCTGTCTAATATCCTTCTAAGTGAATCTGAGAGCCAGGTGTGGCCTATGGTAAAAACTTGAATATGAGTATTTAGTTAAACCTGAGAATACTCCCTGCCCCCGGGTATTGATACATCGGCAATTTTCATTTTATGTCTTTTTTTATGTGTATATGTCATATGGTATATGTGTATACATAGGAGATACACACACACACACGCACATTTCCCATATTTTGGGAAAAAATTTGCATATTTTTATGGCTTTAACATAATTAATAGTTTTAGTCTTGTTTTATTTTTGTTACCAAATTAACTTAACTCTAAGGATACATTATATGTTTATTTAAGGATCTAAGGATAGATGTATAATATTTTAATATATGACAAAAACATATTTTAAAAAATATGGTGAGAGATTTCTGGTTCTAAGACAAGATGAAGTAGGTACAATTCTTCCTATTCCTCCTGCTAAGTACAGCTACAGACAGACATAAAAAGCCCTTGAATGATGGAGAGGAGAAGCAGGTTGGCCTCAGACCATGGGATTGGGGAATGACAGAGTGGTGAGTTTCATAGGTCTTCTTTATGCCTAATATATCCAGGAATGAGTGCTGGAGAAACTGGAAAACAGGAAACATCAGTAGTCACAGACAAAAATATCCTAAGGAAAGCATGTTTCTCTATCCAAGGGAACAAGAAAGAGCAGCCTACCAGGCAGATAACTGACAGTAACCGCACTACTCCAGTCAAATACAGAAAAATCAGGGGCTTCCATCCCGCCTCAGTCAGCAAACACTGAGTGAGGAGCTTTGTCTTATCCCATTGCCTGGCGATAATGAGACACTACCTAGACCCATCAGGCTTATGTCAGAGGAAGCCAACTGGGGACCTAGGACTTTTGCCCCTGCCTATCAGTAATCAGCCACCTCCACACTGTGGTGTTAGTGAAGCCCATGTGAAGAGCCTGGACTTCCACCTGCCCTGTTGCAAGGAAGCACTCCTCACCCACTTTGCCAAGGTGTTGTCAGAGGAGGCCAAGTAGAAAGCTGGGACTTTCACCACTGTCCAGGTGTAAGGAGGCACTTCTCCCTTCCTGGTGTCAGTAGAGGCCATGTGGGAGCGCTGATGAGACCCTCTCCCTCCCAGTCAGGATTCTGTAAGTGGAGGCCTAGTGGGGAGCCTGAGTTTCTATACCCAGCCTGCAGCCACAAGGCACCCCTGCCAGAGAGCCTTCAGTTCTAAGTTCACCAGGAATTGAACCTGTCAGCATCTTGATCTTGGACTTCCCAGCCTCCAGAACTGTGAGAAACACAGAGGGTCCTCCTATAGCATTGTTTTGTTCAACGTTTTGTTACAATGTTGGTGAGAAAATAAATAGGTTCCTGGCCAGGGCCACTGTCCATGAGGAGTTTGTGTGTTCTCCCCACGTCCGCATGGGTTTTCTTTGTGTATTTGAGTTTTATCCCACATCCCAAAGACATGCATGTTAGGTTAATTGGTGAGTCTAAATTGTCCCAGCAGAGTGACTTTGTGTGTATGTGTGTGTGTGTCTGCATCCCACAATGGATGGGATGGCATCCTATACAAGGTTGGTTCCTCTCTTGTCCTTGAGCTGCCGGGATAGGCTCCAGTCATCCATGACCTTGAACTGGAATAAGCAGGTTGGAAAATGAATAAGCGAATGAATAGAAATGTTTCTAAAATAAAAATTTGTAAAGTACATGATATTCATACAACTGTACAATAGTAAACAATGGGGTACAAAAGTACTCAGTGAGTTCAACGTATTTGTTCTTCTTTGCGTTTGAGCTGTGTGGTGGCAGGAGGTGCTCCTTACCATTTTCATTTTACAAACATTTGTTCCTTAATGTAACCCACCACCACTGTGACCACCATCACTCACTAATTCACCAAAAACTGGATAATTAATTATCTTACTTGTTATTATAAACCTACCTTAAATGTATATATAGTTCCCATTTATTTTAATGTTTAATATTAGAAGTGTTCTGAGTCTTTATTTAGGAGTTTGGTGATGTGTTTGTGACCAGAAATAAGCCACAGGAACTTAAATCTTGTTCGCATCAATTAGCCCAGGGGTTCCCAACCCCTGGGCCACAGACCACTAATGGCCTGCTGTCAGATCGGCAGAGGCATTGGATTCTCACAGGAGTGCAAACCTTTGTGAACTGTATTGTGGACTGCCCATGCGAGGGATCTAGGTTGTGCCATCCCACTCCCTGCCACCGCTAGTCCCCAACCCCCATCCATGGCAAAATTTTCTTCCACAAAACCAGTCCCTGGTGCCAAAAATGTTGGGGATCGCTGAATTAGCCTATGGTCAAATTAGTTTTATTATATGTCATTTTGCTTAAAGTCACAGCTTCTAAGAACCTATTGATGATGTTAAGTGAGGACTTTCAGTAAATGTCTGTTGTTTAATCTACTCCATCTGAGTGTCAATGGAGCCAAGTAGAGGACATGGAATTTCACATCATCTGGCAGTTTTGGGGTGAGAGTTACATATTTAAGTCAGTAGATTTTAAGTAAAGTACATTGCCCTCCATAACTGGGTTCCCCTCATTTAATCAGTTGAATGCCTGATTAGCATAAGAGGGAACTCTCCAACAGATTGTCTCAGACTCCATCTGCAATCCTGGCTCTTCCTGGTTCCACAGCAGACTACCTTTGGGCTCAAACTGCAACTCTGTCCCAGTCTCCTCCACTGCTGGCCTCTTCCATCAGAATTTGGACTCAGTAAGCTTCCACAATCATGTGAGCAAATTCTTTAAAAGAAGTATCTTTCTATATATACATATCCTGTTAGTACAACTGCTCTGGAGCACCTAATACAGATCCCAAGGGCATTATTCTGAGTACAAAATGCCAGTCTCGGAAGGTCACATATAGTATAATTCCATTTATATAACATTTTCTAAATGATAAAATTATACAGATGAAAATCAAATTAGTGGTTGGCACAGTGTAGGGATGGTGGGGGGTGGGGGAATGGTGTGACTCTTAAGGAGGGCGAGTGGCATGAGGAAGATCTTTGTGGTGATGGAATATAGTTCTGTATTTTGATCACAGTGGTGGTTACATGAATCTACACATGTGATAAAGTAGAAAACTGCAAATACATTGTATCAGTGTCGATTTCCTTGTTTCGATATTGTGCTATAGTTATGTATGATGTAACCATTGGGGGAAACTGGGTGAAGGGTACAAGGGACCTCTCTGTACTATTTTCATCAACTCCTGTGAATGTATAATTATTTTGAAATTAACATTTAAAAATCATAAAGCATATTATCTAATTTTTTCTCTCAAACTTTAAACAAATCAATGTTTACCTTGTAAATCTTCTCTGCACTCCCAACAACATTGGATATTCTTTATTTGTAATTTTTTTTAAACTACAGACACACCTGACTTAAGATGGTTTGACTTAGGATTTTTTGACTTTTCAATGGTGTAAAAGCAATATCCATTCTGTATAAACCATACTTTAAATTTTGATCTTATTCCAGACCAGCGATACTCAGTAAGATACTCTTTCACAATGCCAGGCAGCCTCAGCCACATGATCATGAAGGTGAACAACTTATACTCTACACTTTCAACTCACAATATTTTCAATTTACAATGGATTTATTGGGAGTTAACCCCATCATAAGTTGAAGAGCATCTGTATTACATTTAAAAACCCAGGTTATTTTAAAATAGTTGCTTATATTTACATACTTACAAGATTATTCAGTCTAGCCCAGATTTACAAGGGGGAAAAAACACACTCAAGGTATTTTAAGCCCAGAGAGATGTAATACAGTGAAGTGCATTGCAAAAGTTTTGTAAGGACAGAAAAAGCAAAATTGTGCTTCCAAAGGTCAGGAACTGCAGGAAGCTACTATTGGCCCTGCAGCACTAAACAAACCCACACTCCTGGCAGCTGCTGCTACTTGCTGTCAGAAGCAGAATGACAGCAATTTTCCACTGCCTTCTAATCGCAAGTGAGTGCCTTCCTAAGAAAGGGACTCTGGAAGAAGTGGTGTCCAGGCTTCAACCCCAAGTGATATGGAAAAAAGCACAAAACAGGGGGAAATTGATTTAGTACCAACAGACAATATCTCCAACTTAAAATATCTTGAATATTTATTCCTGAATATATTACCCCTTTCTAATATCTCTCTTTGCATTTTTCTTATTTGTACTTACATATATATTTGATGAATTTTTAGCATTTTTAGTAATTTACTAAATCTATACTTAATAGAAATATTAAACCTAATATAATGTATAGCATTATCCGATATAGAAGATCTTAAATGTCATTAATTAAATGTTAGCCTCTTGGATTTTAATTTATATAAAGCTTAATAATGTGAAAATACATGAAGATCAACCAAATGAAAAGAGCAAAAATTATTCACAAATTGCTATAACAAAGGAGTCAGCCACCATCTTTTGCATTTTGGCAGAGACTCAAAGACAGGCAAAGAAGTAGGAAACTTTATAGTGGTTAAAAGGGACCTGATTGGAGGCTGTTGGCATGGGGAATGCTTAAGGGGTAACTGGAAGTGGAGTATCCTATGTAATTGGGTAGGATGCATATTTAGCTTTCCCTGGTTGGTCCTAAGTTGGAAGCAGGCACAAATATTGGGGGAACTGTCAGTTATTAATCAAGTCCTGGCCATTTTAAAACAATTGTTATAAAAGTTATTATTTAGCCTCCTGGATTGTTACTAGAGACAGCAATCTGACTTCCTGCAAGTCGGACTTAAGCAGACTACCTTGCTGTATTGTTTATTGAAGATAAGGGAATTGGTTCCCCAGGCAGGCTGCTGTAGGCTGTGGGTCAATGGTCTATTTTTTTTTTTTTTTCTTAGATGGAGTCTTGCTCTGTCGCCAGGCTGGAGTGCAGTGGCATGATCTCAGCTCACTGCAACCTCCACCTCCTGGGCTCAAGTGATTTTCCTGCCTCAGCCTCCCGAGTAGCTGGGACTACAGCTGCGTGCCACCATGCCCAGCTAAATTTGTATTTTTAGTAGAGACAGGGGTTTCACCATGTTGGCCAGGATGGTCTTGATCTCTTGACCTCATGATCCATCCGCTTGGCCTCCCAAAGTGCTGGGATTACAGGCGTGAGCCACCATGCCCAGCCAGGCCTATTTTTATATATGGTCTGGCCATTGTCTGTTTCTATATCCAGTTTTTCAGAAAGCACAATTTAAAATCTTATTCTTTTTTCCACCACAGTATAAGATGCATTAGGGTCACAGTAGGACAAATTGTCCCACTGGCAACAACTACAAAAATAGGATAAAATTTTAAAGGTATATTTTTAAAAAGCATTGTTTAGCTAAGAAAGTAAATAGGACTAGATGAATAAAAATTCCAAAGAAGAACCATGCAAATGTAAGCTGACGTTTGGACATCACTGTTTCTCTTGGTAGCATTTGCTGTTTGCAAGTGTACGCTGCGTTTTAGTGCCATTTTTCTGCTACCGTTTTCTGCTGTAGAAAAGTTTTCTGCTACAATTTTCCTACAGTTTTCTGCTGTAAGAAAGAACTCAGCAGCAATTATGGGGCCAGTGTGATGTAACTAGAAAACTGAGGCATCTCAAACACTCTGGTTTCTTCAAAACACGTTGGTTAACTTCTGATGCTACGGTAGAAGGTAAAACAAAAAACTAAAGTGTCAACTTCTGAAAGGCAGTGCAAAATCTTTCACTGTCCAGTGGTGTTGAGGAAACAAAGACCTACCATTGATAAGGGCCCTAAAACAAAACAGACGTAAGTTTCAGAAGAACTGGTGAATTGATGCCAAGTAGCAACAACCACTTATCACCTGAGGACACTTACTGATCTGAGTGCTTGTTTGGAGCTAATAATCCAGGTTTGGCCTCTGACAATAGGCTCCTCCAGTGGACTAAGAAAATAGCAAGTGTTTAGTCATTTGACGTGGTGCTGCAATGACAAGATTTGAGAGTTGATGACTTCAAGCACTTTGTAGGTGTCTTTTTCAAAACACTTGTTAAATGTTGAAGATCTATGGAGTAGAAGACTAATGAGCTAAGCTGAAAATTTCTTTAAGTTCAGCCTAAATCTCCTTCAGCTCTTCAGGATTGAGAAGATGAAAGCTATCGGGTTTTTCATTGAAAGTCATGGAGGACTATGCTCTAGAAATGGGGCAAAACTGAAGTCATGCATCACTTAGCTAAAGGGACAAGCTCTGAGAAATGTGTCATTAGGTGATTTCATCTTTGTGTGAACATCACAGAGTGTCCTTACGCAAACTAGATGTTATAGCCTACTATACATTTAGGCTATATGGTACACCCTATTACCCCTAGGCGACAAACCTGTACAGCATGTGACTGTATTGAATACTATTGGTAATTGTAACACAATGCTAACTGTTTATGTATCTAAACATACAAAAGGTGTGGTGAAAATACCATATGAAAGATTTTTAAATGGTAGATCTTTCTAGGACACTTACCATGAATGGAGCTTGCAGGACTGGAAGTTGCCCTGATGAGTCAGTGAGTGAGTGGTGAGTGAATGCAAGGGCCTAAGGCATTACTATACATTACTGTAGACTTTATAAATACTGTAACTAAGACAACATTAAATTTATGAAAAATGTTTTTCTACAATTATTAACCTTAGCTTACTCTAACTTTTTAAACTTTATATACTTAATTTTTTAACTTTTTGACTGTTTTGTAATAGCACAGCTTAAAACACAAACACTATACAAAAATATTTTCTTTATATCCTTATACTATGAGCTTTTTTCTACTTAATTTTTTTTTTTCACTTTTTAAACTTAAAAAAAAATCTAAGAAACACACACATTAGCCTAGGCCTACTCAGAGTCAGGATCATCAATATCACTGTTTCCCACTTCCACATCTTGTCCTACCAAAATGTCTTCAGGGGCCATAGCACACATGGAGAGGCCATCTCCTATGATAACTACACTTTCTTCTGGAATTCCTCCTGAAGGACCTGCTTGAGGCTCTTCTTGAGGAGGTGTCACTCTTCAGAAACAGGTCCATGATGGTTTGCTTGGTTTCCTTTTTTCATCATAGATTTGCTTATAAGCAGATGATTCACCGTGAACATTCCTCTTTATTAATGAAAACCTTGTTGTGCTGGGGTTCATGTTTTCAAATTTTTAAGGAGCTTGTTGAGGTCTGCAAAAGCTCCTGCTAAACCCTGCACAGGGAATTTTATTTGGGGTTCTTCTTCTTCTTCTCCTTCAGTTTCCTTTTTTTCTGACCACTACTTCAACTATGCATTCCTGTCTCAGTTCCAACAACTCCTCATTAGTCAATTCCAAGGAACTACCTCTAGGAGCTCCTAATGCCATCCTCATCCGTACTCAGTTTAAAGTTGTTTGCCATCTCAACCAAAGCCTTGTAGATTTTTGCAATCTCCTCATCCTTGGCAAACCCTTTGAACTCACAGACAAACCTCCTGAGTGTCTTCTTCCAGATGCCATTCACACACTCCTCGGTGACATCATCCCCATCCCAAGCAAGGTTCTTGATGTAGCCATAGCTGTTGTTATCCTTCCAGAATTGCATCACTGTCTTCTCAGTGTCTTCCTGAGTTACCATAATAACATGGGCAAAGGCCCTCTTCAGATAGTAAACCTTAAAAGCTGCTATAATTCCTTGATCCATTGGTTGGATTAAAGAGGGAGAAGCACCACTTCGATATTGGGATAAAGATCATTAATAACAGGAGGATGTGCAGGAGAACAAATAACCATAAACAAAATCTTGAAAGTTATGGTATTTTTCAGACAATGCCTCTCTATTTCTCTGGCATAGCAATTTAGGATGTAATCATGGAAGAGGAGATGGGTCATCCATGATGTTTTATTACACCTGTAGTGTACTGGCAGGATATACTTTATATATATATATATATATATATATATATTTTTTTTTTTTTTTTTTTATGGAATCTAGTTCTGTCTTCCAGACTGGAATGCAGTGGCATGATCTCGGCTCACTGCAAGCTCCACCTCCCAGATTCACACCATTCTCCTGCCTCAGCCTCCTGAGTAGCTGGGACTACAGGTGCCCACCACCACACCCGGCTAACTTTTTGTATTTTTAGTAGAGACAGGGTTTCACTGTGTTAGCCAAGATGGTCTTGATCTCCTGACCTCGTGATCCGCCCACCTCGGCCTCCCAAAGTGCTGGGATTACAGGCGTGAGCCACCGTATCTGGCCTCTTTTTATATTCTTAAAGGAAGGTCCTGGGGTTTTCACCTTGCTGGATCACAAAGGGCTTTAATTTGTAGCCTGCAACATTGCCCTCAAGCAAGACCGTTATCTGTACTTAAAAGCCTTGAAAGCTAGCATTGACTTGGCCTCCTTATGGGTTAAATTCCTTTCAGGCAGTGAGAACAAAGACACAACATACCAGAATTTCTGGGACACATTTAAAGCAGTGTGTAGAGGGAAATTTATAGCACTAAATGCCCACAAGAGAAAGCAGAAAAGATCTAAAATCAACATCCTAACATCACAATTAAAAGAACTAGAGAAGGGCAAACAAATTCAAAAGCTAGCAGAAGGCAAGAAATAACTAAGATCAGAGCATAACTGAAGGAGATAGAGACATGAAAAACCCTTCAAAAAATCAATGAATCCAGGAGCTGGGTTTTTTTTTTTTTGTAAAAAAAGATCAATAGATAGACCGCTAACCAGACTAATAAAGAAGAAATGAGAGAAGAATCAAATAGATGCAATAAAAATGATAAAGGGGATATCACCACTGATCCCACAGAAATACAAACTACCATCAGAGAATACTATAAACACCTCTGATAGAACAGACTTTAAACCAGCAAAAATCAAAAGAGACAAAAGAGGGCATTACACAATGGTAAAGGGATTAATTCAACAAAAAGAGCTAACTATCCTAAATATATATGCACCCAATACAGGAGCACCCAGATTCATAAAGCAAGTTCTTAGAGATCTACAAAGAGACTTAGACTCCCACATAATAATAGTGGGAGACTTCAACACTCCACTGTCAATATTAGACAGATCAACAAGACAGAAAATTAACAAGGATATTCAGGACTTGAACTTAGCTCTGGACCAAGCAGACCTAATAGACATCTACAGAACTCTCCACCCCAAATCAACAGAATATACATACTTCTCAGCACCACATCGCACTTGTTCTAAAATTGACCACATAATTGGAAGTAAAACACTCCTCAGCAAATGCAAAAGAATGGAAATCATAACAGTTTCTCAGACCACAGTGCAATCAAATTAGAACTCAGGATTATGAAAGTCACTCAAAACCACACAAATACATGCAAACTGAACAACCTGCTCCTGAATGACTACTGGGTAAATAACAAAACGAAGACAGGAATAAAGACATTCTTTAAATTTCCACTCTTAGCCTTACTTTTTGTGTGTCTGCATCCTTGATCTCTATGGCCACGAGACAACAAACCTCAGGTCACCCCAGACAAACGAGGCTGCTTCAATCCCACTTATATGAGGTGTCTAGGTAGCCAATCTCATAGAAACAGAGAATAGGTTGGTGGTTGCCAGAGACTGGGGGCAAGGTAAATGGGGGAGTTACTGTTCAACCAATATAACATTTTAGTTATGCAAGATGAATAAGTTCTAGAGATCTACTATACAACATTGTGCCTATAGTTAACAATACTGTGTTGTAGTTAAAAACTTGTAAAGAGGGTATATTTCATGTAAGGTGTTCTTATCACAACACAATGAAATAAATTGGAAAATGAAGGTGGTCCAGAATTTATCATTGTTACCAGCAAGAGGGGTATTTCAATACAAACTACTCCGTCAATACCAGAGGCCATGACTCTCCTTCCAGAGCTTTTAATTAAGACCCAGGTAGGTCTCTGTTCCTACAAATGTCAGTGAGAGATTCAGCCCTGAACTTCAGTACTTGCTGGCCCAGCTCCCTGGCCTCCTTCTCAGGTGGCTTCAGGAGCAGGCACATGTGAAAACGGGGAGACCCACCTTGTGCTCGACAGACCCAGGCTGAAGGCAGTTCTCCGTGTCCTGAACACAAGCAACATGGAGGAGTCCTCATTCTGCCTTTGGAGTTTGGGGCCTGGCTCATAGCTCAGTGCTGCACCACAGCTCAAGAAATATCTTGTGGGGAAATCACGCCATGAATTTGAGAATTTGAGAACCTCAAATATCTAATTTCTTAGTCTGTCCCTGTGTCCCTTGCTTGGTTTCCCTTTCTCCAGCAGATTCCCTCCTGAGCCCATGACACCTCTTCTGTATGAACAATGAATTGGCAAATGCCCCATGGGTGGCAGGGGAAGAGCTGTGATTGTCAGCTCACCTCAAAAGGATCACCTATTCTCTGCAATTGTATTTCATCTAGTGCATGTTGCTTCCACAGCTCTCCTTTTCCTTTAAAGTACGAATTTTGTGTTTTAAATTTTTAACTTTTCTAGCTGGTGTACTGGGAGTGTTGAGTTAATCTAGCAGTATCCCACAGAGAAGTCAAAGTCATATATTTATGTTCTGTTATGTTTTTCTTGGATTTTATTATTTTTTGTTTTCTTATATATTTTTTAATTGATGCCATGCAGAAGAAAAATATGAGTGATAATTTGAGGCTCCAGGAAATATTATATTTCTCTAGAGGTTATTTAGTTTTGCTTGTGTCAGGCAATGAGGCTATGAGGCTAAGGTCATTAATATCTCAAATCACCCAAATCTAGTCTAGGATTAGTTAGTTAGAACTCAGGATTCAGTTCCTATGAAGGATGATCTGTTTCTGTTTCACCTTATTCCACATATTAGACTTCCAAGGTTTCTATGGAAAGCGTATTTTTATCTTATGGAGTCCTTCCTTTATTTGTGAGGCATGAAATCCAAATTTGTCCCTCTAGCCCTTTGAACATTTTGTGGGGTTTTTGTGCTTAATGGAAGTTGAGCCAAATGAAAAGGAACACAGGTATCAAACACCACATGGAAGCTGAAGCAGCTAGCTGTATTGAACATGTTTCCCCCTCACATAATAAATAGCATATATTCTTATCAAGCTGGAGCTGGCATCGTAGGAAGCACTTTTTCTCTTTGCATTTACATCTTCTGATCTTTGGGAATGAAAATCGTCTGTATACGTGATTCTTTCCTACTTGGTTGTGGCCATTATCTTGTTCCCTTACTCTAAGGAATTATCTAGATGTTGGATGATTTGGGGCTGGATAATGATGGATGTGAAGTTGTATTTTACTTGCTCATGGTTAGCTGGAACGTTTCCCTCCCCACCATCTACCTAAGTAGTTTCCAAGCTGCCTATATCAGATCAATCAGGTCCAGGTGAGCAGGAATAGAATCCAGAGCCGCCACATACACTGGGATATGAGGATGTCTGTTGAGTTGTGTTTTGTATAAATTGTGAAAGGAAACTAAAAATTTGGCACCCCAATTCACCATGTCAAAAGGAAAGAATTAAGGTGAAAGCTGAGTCACGCAAGAAATTGCCTTTCCTTTGGTTTCCAAGCAGATAGCTACAGATAAAAGGTTAAAAATATCCCCACCGGTAGCTACTCTATGTTCACCTAATCATATGCAAAGCGATGATTTACTGAGAGCAAGATGAATACATAACTGACTCTTCCCCTACCTGCCCCTTTTTCCTTGCAACATGTGGATTGCCATACCTTCTCTCTTTCCCTGTCAGCCCACTTTTCCCCTTTAAATATTGAAATCATCTTTGGAGAAAGACACAGACCAGATTGCCTGTGTCATTTGATGATTTTTTCTTTCCAGCATGTCCCTAACCTTGGGAAAATAAACTTCTAAATTGCTTAAGACCTGTCTCAGACACTTTTTGGTTTACAACCTTGACATATATCAGAGTTTCAACCTATGTGATAGTCCAAGGAAGAGTGAAAATTACCAAGGAAAGTACACTATTGGAGCTATTCAATTCTCCCTCCAGTCTGCTTTTCACCTTTAAATATTGAAGGCTTCTAAATCATCTTTGGAGAAAGCCACAGACTTGTCTTCTGGGCATTGTCTTAAACCCTAGCAAAATAAACTTCTAAATTGATTGAGATCTGTCTCAGATATTTTTGGTTTAGAGTATTGTAACTATGGTCTTTGTACTTGCCGCACTGCCTCCTCTCCGTTTGATTTACCAATGCCCAATGAAGCCATGTTTTCAGCATGCAAAACCCAGGAAAGAAATTCTACAAAACTTGCCAAGCAAGAACTCAATGTTGCACAAAACTCATAATGATAGTGCACCAGCTCATCGAGAGGGGAGCCAATTCACAAACAAGCATGAGAAAATCTAGATGAAGGCCATTTTACCAGCCCTAAAAAAGCTATTTCTGACCGGGCGTGGTGGCTCACGCCTGTAATCCCAGCACTTTGGGAGGCCAAGGCGGGAGGATCACGCGGTCAGGAGATCGAGACCACCCTAGCTAACATGGTGAAACCTCGTCTCTACTAAAAATACAAAAAATTAGCCGGGCGTGGTGGCGGGCGCCTGTAGTCCCAGCTACTGGGAAGGCTGAGGCAGGAGAATGGTGTGAACCCGGAAGGCAGAGCTTGCAGTGAGCCGAGATCATGCCACTGCACTCCAGCCTGGGCAACAGAGCAAGACTCCGTCTCAAAAAAAAAAGCTATTTCCATTTATGAATTTAACTATAAATAACTATATAGTATAAATAACTATAATTGATATGAAAATATATAAAGTTATTCAGTTGTTAATGGATACTTAAGTTGTTTTGATGTTTTGCTATTAGGAATGAAGTTGTAATGAACTTGCAATAGTTCTTGATGTATGTTCTAGAGTAGCATTGTAGTAGTAATGTAGTATGATAATGTATATATATTTTCAACCTTACTATGTTATGCTGACTTGTTTTCCAAAATGATCCTAACAATTTCTATTTCCTTCAGAAGTCTGTTGGTAGAAACATTGACCCACATCCTTGCTAGGTTTTGATATTTTTATTGTTTTTTCAGTGTGGCGTTTATTTACATTTCTCTGACTTATAATGAAGAGTTTGAAATTTTTTCACATATTCACATGTCATTTATACATGTTACTATAAAATGTTTCTTCTTGCCTTTACCATTTTTTTTCTCAGAAAAATATAGTCCTTTACTAATTGATTTGTAGGAGGCCTTTCTATGTTCTGGGTACTAATCCTTTTCATGGTTTAATATGTTGTAAGTATCTTTATCCAGTTTACCAAAAAAATTTCCTCTCTCTAGTGAGTGATTCCAATCAGCATATAAACATGCCACGGCATTTCCTTTTCCCTAAATCCAACTCTGCTAATGAATTTTTACTTCTAATCTGAAGGAAACTCTTAAAAATATTGGGCTGCACCTGTTATTTCCATTCCTCCCCATTCTTCTTCCACTCTTCACAGATCAGGCTACAGTCCACATCTTTAACTGAACTCCTTGTCACTGACATGTGTTAGCTCCATGTTGCCAAATCCAATGGTCATCTCTAGGATGTCATTTTATTCATCATATCAGAAGCATTTTATGTAGTTAACCACTACTGCATCATTGATGTATTTTCTTGACTTGTTACTAAACCTCACTGTCTTGAGATTCTCATCACACGAGAATAACAGCCAGATCTCAGCCTGCCTTGCCAAGTCTCCCATCTTCCCAACTTCTAAATGACTGAGGGCCCAGGACTCATCTCTTGCATTTGTTTCCTATGCATCTTCATTCCAGAATCTCCCATGGATTCCCACAACTAAGCACAATTCTTTGTTGAAGTTTCTCTAACTTACATTACTAGCCTTGACATGTTGCCCATAGCTTTGAAGCATGACTTGAAACCAAGCTTTGCATATTTCTTCTGTCCTTTTTCAAATAAGTTTTGGCTATTGTAGATCCTTTGTATTTTCATATAAATTTTAGAATTGTCTATTGCCACAAAGAAACCCAGTGGGAATATTGATCAAGATCGTGTTGAGAACTGTTATTTCAAAAATATCAATTCTTCCCAAATCAAAATATATTATATCTCTTTACACATTTAGAATTTTATCAGTTTCTCTCATCAGTATTTTATAGTTTCACATCACACATCTTTCGGTTCAGTTTATGTCTAAGTATTTTATGTTTTTATTGCTGTCATAATGAAGTGATTTTTAAATTTTATATATGATATTCTGCTGTGGTGTATAGAATTACAATTTGTTTTTGTATTTTACCATTGTTAAATTCACACATTCTAGGCATTTTCAATAGCTCTCTTAGGGTTTTATATATAAGCAATCAAGCTTTCCAGGCTGTAATGTTTACTGTTTGCCAAAAGGAGTCTGAAATTATGTGAAATCTGCTAGGCTTAAACTAATTTTTAAAATAATAAAAGTTGAAAGAAAAATCCAGGTCAATTTAAAAAATAAAGAATATTTTAAAAATAGTTTCCCATGCCCAATTTTATGTTAAAATACAACCAGACATAGTTAAATGTTTTATATATGGTCATGAAACTAAATTGTCCCCAATTATTTTCATATTCCAGTTCATATCAATTTCAATGGCTAGGCTATCCTTTGGGGTATAGTTTTCCTTTCATCCTGCTAACCCATTAATTATCCTTTTCTACGTGTCCACAAATGTCAGAGGTGTTTGAGCCGGAGCAACTCCATCTTGAATAGGGGCTGGGTACAATGAGGCTGAGAGCTACTGGGCTGCATTCCCAGGAGGTTAAGGCACTTTC